>NC_000003.12:130675270-130826786 GCF_000001405.40 Homo sapiens
TAAAAAATATCTTTCAAGAGTAGCAAGAAGTGGCAGAGATGATGCTATTCAAAATTTTATGAGAAGCACCTCCCATACCTTTAAGAATGGAAGGATGATAGAAAGTGCTCCCAAACAACATGATTAAAAAAATGCTTGAACAACTTAGCCTTAGGAAGCATGGTAAGACTCTGGACTTAAATAGTAACTAAATCTGCTGCCAGAACTCAAGCAACAGTTTGTAGGTTATCAGGTGACTTGACCCCCTGCATTCATTGGTATTAAGATATATCTTGTTCATTTATTTGACCACTCCTGACAATTCCAGCACTCTACGACTGATATGTCGAAGAACTGTTTCATTAGAAGACAGAAGAATGAAAGAAGTGTTTTGAAAAGTCTAATGGAGATATAATTTGAAGGTAAAATTTATATGATGTATGCATATGTGTACATGGGTCAATGTTAATTCTTTTATCTCTGTCCAGTTCATTTTCTGCAAACCCATCCTCCTTTCCTAATTTAGTAATGTCTAATGCTCATCTATTTAGTCAAAGTTATTTTTTAATGTTTTAAGCTACTCCAAAATTTATCCTAGAAATGGATGCTGTTTATATGTCGTATTTTTTTAAAACGTGACCTTCTATTCCACTTAAACACACCACTGTGGGAGTTGTTTGCTTGGACTGATGAGAAGAGGGTAATTTTCTCCATCTCTAAATCCTCCTGAACTCACTGAAAAACTCATTAATTCCCGCAGAACATAAATTATTGCTTTTGAGCTGGAAGTTTTCTCTTCATTAGGAAGCTTACTGCCATTTTGATGGAGCTTGAAGCCCCCATTTTGATGGACTTCTAGTCTGTCTTTCCTGTTATGGTCATTTATTAATTTTCACTAATCCATATATTCTTTAGACAAGGAGAGTCAAGAAACTACTTGTCATAGATGAAGCTCTGAGTTACTTTTACCCATCAGGTAGCTGTTTAGTCAATAATAAACAGCACCAAAACAGGATTAGCAGAGCTCTTAAAAACAGCCTTAAATACACACTGAGTTTAGAAAAATGTAAGAAAATCATTGTTTTAATCTACAAATTCATATGCAGTTGCAGAGATGCAAAAGAGATCAGAGTAAGTTAAAGTAGGAAAGGTTTTATAAAAGTATTGATGGCTGTGTCCTCATCTGCATTTTTGTTTTTATGATAGGGCTGATATTTTCAACAACGAAACACCCAATGTTCAGACCTTACCTCAGTCTAAGAGCTGGCTCCACAGTTGGTAGCAATGGCCCTGTTAGGCAGACTGTCCCCCTCTTTGGGAATGGAAAGAAGCCCTGCCTGGATGCATGGAGCAGATGGATACTGACACCAAGGACATTCAGATTTTCTTTCCTATACCTATTTTCATAAAATTTGGAAAGAAAAACTATCTGCAGTATTTTTTTAAAACGACTTCTGCTATTCTTACTTAGAGAAATCCAGTGATAGCACCTCATGTCTTCAGAGGAGCAAGAAGTTCAAGGAGTTAAATGTCACATTCATACTCAGGTAATAGAGAAGAATAAAACACATCAGGTTTGCTTCATCTATCCTAAGTGGTGCTTAGGGGTTCAGAAAAAATGTTTCAAGTACAGGAAATTAATGAGCAATATTTACAATGTATTTTAATAAAAGGGATTTTTCTAGTTAACTCTGAGTTAAGCACGAACTCCTTTCTTTTGTTAATTGTTGGAAATACCATTAAGATGTATTTGTCTGTTTTTCTGCATTGGCAAGTAAAGAACATAAAACAAATATTCCCTTGGTGACAGATTATTTTTAGTATTTTGGGCCATCTTTTGAATCACTAATAGGTGAGAGCTCTAAAGCATGCTGCAAATAGAAGTTCCTTTTTAAAAATCCCTAATATTAGTATTTTCCCTGATTTACCTCTTTCTCCTAAAAGTGGAAACAGCAAAAATTAAGTTGAATATAAATTTAATAAAGCTATATTTAACCCAAGAATCACACAAGCCAGGATGCTTCTTGGTTTAAAAATGTGAATTAATCGACTGTAAAGGAACTGCCTCCCATTATCTCTGCACTGAGCTATGAATCAAACTTTTTTTTTTTAAGTAGAGGTCAAAAGGAGATGCAACTTAACACGGCATCAGATTGTAATACTTAGAATTCAACCAAATAACTTTTTTTTAAAACTGGGGCTTTTCTGTGGGGCAAGGGGACAGAGAAGAATGGGTGGTAGCAGGAGATAAGGGGAGAAAAGGATCATATCTCTGTCAGCCCACTCCATTTTTTTTTCTTAGCACTTCCCATATTTATCAGTCTTACAGCTTATCTATCTAATGGCTCCAGGCTGAAGTCCAATCTCAGCATTACAGTTTATATAGCAAAAAAAATTTTCCCCAACCCCCTTGGAGACTCTAAATCTGACTTAGTAGCTAGAAACCCTGTAAATATGGTCTTAGCAGACATTAAGGGAAACAAAGCCAAGGCAACATGACAATGCCAAATTTGCAATTTCTACCAATCCACTAAGCTATCAGGCCTAGTTAGTCCATCATTCCTAACTTTGACATTTCTGAACGACTGGCATTTTCTGACAGTTTTGTTGTTTACCTGTCTAAAAACTAAGTACAGTTGGCTCTGTATCTGTGGGTGTTCCACATCCATGAATTCAACCGTGGATAAAAAATATTCAGAAAAAGAAGGATGGTTGTGTCTGTACTGAACATGTACAGACATTTTTCTTTTCATTCTCTAAACAATAGAGTATAACAACTATTTAGCATTTACAGTGTATTATGTATCGCAAGTGACCTAGAAATAATTTGAAGTATATGAGAAGATGTGTGTAGATTATATGCAAATACAACGTCATTTTATGTAAGAGACTAGAGCATCTGTGGGTTTTGTTATCCTTGGGAGGTCCTGGAACCAATGCCCCAGAGATACCTAGGGATGATTGTATTGAATCATGAAACTAGATATATGCTTCGTAAACTATATGTACTGTAACTTAATCATATAATTATAAAAATATAGAAAATTCTTACAGTATTTCTAAGCAAGTAGGCTTTTCCCTTGGCTGAGATTTTTACAGACTCATGTAACTAATTTTAAACTAAAATATTCTGAATACCATAAATCCTTCTGCAAGTGGATATGAATTAAATACGGAGTCTGTATGCAAATAGTAATCCATAACCTTGAAGGGTTTTATCTTAGTGGAAAAGACCAATTTTGGCCTTTTAAAAATGTATATTTTTGGTGTACTTTTTTCTTTTTCATGCATTCAATAGTCTATACTGGATAAAAGCAACCTGTTGGGCCAAGTGTCAGAATTTATGGTACAGCCCATAAAAAATAATGATGGCCAAGAGGAGGCACACTTGTATAACTAATATGCAGGAAATCAATTCTACAGTGTTAAATAAATAACTAATAAGACAGACTGTAAAACACACAGGAAATATTAGAGCAGAAAGAGCACAATATTTAGAGTCCAGAGATTTGGACCTAACACCTGGTTCTGTCACTGATTCCTTGTGACATGGACTCCATTTCTTCACCTTAGAACAAATGCTGCTGGAGAGATTATTCCTCTGCTTAATGGAGGGATTATTCCTCTGCTTAAATTTACCATTTAAAAATACCACCAAAACCACAAACTCTTAGGATGCATGAATACAGTTTAACTGCTTTGAATAGCATTTTTAATAGCAAAAATGTGTTTATACTATAATAGCTTACAACCATCTTTTCAACCATCTTTTTCAATACAAAATAAACATATTCATTTTCATATTTTACATTTCTCACCTCTATAACATATACAATAAAAATCCCAGACATTGTTGGCTGGCTGATTCTTGCAAAGAGATGCATAAGTAAACTAGTCAAGTACATCTTAACCATTTTGGGTGTCATTTAGTCAGTCAGTCATGAAACAGTAATATGGAGACATAATTTTGAAAATTAAGCAAATGAATCTGTTCTCTAGAAATGCCTTTTCTCGAGTTATAGTATTATATTTATAACTATTAAAATTTATACAAATCAGTAGGTTTTATTTCCACACCTTCACAATCCCATCTCTAGAAGCAGTTACGATGAAGCCCTGTGTGGTCTGGAATGTGGCGACATCAGTGATGATGTCATGATGTCCCACGGGCAGGGACTCTGGGCCCCTTCGAGGGGTGTCATCACTTGGTCCTACTTTCTGCTTATTCTGAATTTCCTGTTTGGTGATTAAAAGGGAGCAAGCCAGAGGTTAAAAGTCTGTACCACATTTTTCCTCTCGTCAGTAGTCCTGCTTCTGAGATACTGTTGTTGTATTTAAGTTAACACCTTTTGTAGTCATGCTTTCACGAATACATTGAGCAAAAGGAGTAGAGGAGCCAAAATGACATTCTAGGGTCCTAGTCATTGGATTTCATGAGTAGCCACTTATAACTATGGAAAACTTATCTTAGGTCAATATTCTGTGCATATTAACTTTTGCCAACATCAAAAGAAAAAAGGGATAGAATATAATTAAAAGATGTATAGGCCAGGCGCGGTGGGTCACGCCTATAATCCCAGCACTTTGGGAGGCCAAGGCGGGTGGATCACAAGGTCAGGAGATCAAGACCATCCTGGCCAACATGGTGAAACCCCGTCTCTACTAAAAATACAAAAATTAGCAGGGTGTGGTGGCGTGCACCTGTAGTCCCAGCTCCTCAGGAGGCTGAGGCAGGAGAATCGCTTAACCTGGGAGGCAGAGGATGCAGTGAGCAGAGATCGTGCCACTGCACTCCAGCAAGACTCCATCTCAAAAAAAAAAAAAAAAAAAAAGAGGTATAAATGACCAAAATATAAAAAATACATAGCAGATATTCTACCACTTCTAAAGCTCATTAATATTTGTCATGAAGGAAGCACACTTTCATTTACAGAGCACCTACTTTGGCCCAGGTGCTAAAGGTATATTCTCACTTGAAGTTTTTGCCTGAGTCAAGAATACAAACTTTACAGTCCCAAAGCCAGGTTTAAATCCCAGCTTTCTGTTTACTAGCTGTGTGACCTTGAACAAGTTACTTAACTTCACTGTGCCTTTTTCATTTGTAAGAGGATAATAAAAGTGCTTCCTTACGATGTTATAAAGTACATACTGGTCATTTGAGCTATTACTTATATGCACTTTCTTTATGCTTATTTTACCTTAATAAAAGTTAATTTTTTTAAATACAGAAAATTCAAGAAAAAATAAATTTCCTAAATTCAAAGTACTCCTCGCTTGGTCAAGCCATTTATTTTAATCAATTCTGTTTACAAAAGCCATGTTTGTGCTTACAAAAGGTGAAAGGAATGAAAAGACTACAGTACCTGGACAACTTCAGTGCCTTCAATTATTTTCCTGTAGTAGGACACAGATGGGGAACTAGTACTTCCTGCAACAACATAGGACCTTTCTGGGTAAGCCAAGTCCCAAAACCTAGGAAAGAGGAAATAAATGATGACAATCTCTTCAGGACAATGGGAGGAACTAATAATCATTGGCTTATCTTCATCAATGCATTTTTTCTTTTGCATTAGGAAAAGAGGTTTTCATAGAACAGCATACCATTGGTTACAAATAAAGTATTAACAGCTGTCCTTATAAGATGATTTTAAACATTACAGTGCCATCAGTATCTATAATAACAGCTTGTAAAAGTATCCATTTTATTAAAGTATTGAGATAGTGTACCTTATTTTCATATCTGAGCCAGCTGTTAGTAGGATAGGATTTCCATCTGCAGGACTACAGTAGATACCATGGACGCTATGAGGAGAAGGCTTAAAAGAAATAGATGTGGAGTCAAATAAAAGACATCCGTGTATTCCATAAATGATAGTGCTATTTCTAGAGGCAAGTTAACTGTCAGTAGCTTTACAAGCACCTGGTTAACTGAAGAAATGAGAGACCAGTTATGTATGCCCTATCTACTTCAATCTGGCCTTTTCCTAATTATGCTAGATCTTATTGGGGTTCCAAAGAGACATCACAAGCTTTATGGGCTAGCAACTTATTTACCCAATAATGCAGAACACTAGCAAGGAAACACTCATGTAGCAATGGCCACATGATACTTGATGTTATTAAAAACCCAAATTTAAACATAACCCAAAAGCCCAACAGATACTAGGTTTGATTAAATGCCTGAAAGTACTTAGGATGTGGGGAATAATATCATCCTTTACAGTAAAAACTGAAGTCAAACCTGTAATTCAGAAAGTGGTGGTGCACTGCTGGCCCAGAGAGTAAATCTTCTGTCACCAGTCTCCATGTCCCACATGGACACTTCGTTGTTGCCCTGAACAGCTAAAGGAAACAAAGGCCAGAATCTTGACTCAGACAAAAAGAGTTGGAGAAGATTACAACAAAACAAATTGCAGTCCTGAGAGAAAGAAAGAAAAATTTCTTTCTTTCTTTCAGGGGGAGAGACAATATAATATTCACTTAATAATATTTACTGAGCCAGTAAATATAGTAAATATTTTTACTATGGGCTAGTCACTGCGCTAGGCACTGAAGAAGAGATGGCAAACAAAGCAGAAAAATTCCCAGTTTCATGGAACTTCCATTTTAGTGGGGACAACAGACAAAAATGCAAAGGCCCTTCTGAAGCAGGAGTGTGCTTAGTTGAAAAAACAAGTCAGTGTGGCAGGAACAGACTGAGAATGGGAGATAAGTAGGAGAAAGGGCAGTAATGCTGGTCATTTTCCATTTGCTGCTCTAAATCTGACCTGAATGAACCACATCAACAAGCTTCTGTACTCCCTCTGGCTGGGTCCGCCAGCCTGTGGTAGGCTAAATAATGGCCCCAAAGGTATCCAAGTCCTATCCCCTGGAACCTGTGAATGGTACCTTATGTGGCAAAGTGACTTTGCAGATGTGATGAAATTAAGGACCTTGAGACAGATTATTCTGGATTACTCAGGGGGCCCTACATGTAATCACAAATCTCCTTAGGCGAGGGAGGCAGATTTGGCAGCAAGAACAGAAAGCAGTATAACAATGAAACAAGATGCTATGTTGCTGGCTCTGAAGATGAAAGAAGGAGCCAAGGAATTTGGTTCTAGAAGCAGGAAAAGGCAAGGAAATAGATGTTCCCCTAGTGCCTCCAGAGGGAATACAAGTCTGCTGCTACCTTGATTTTGGTCCACAAAACCCATTTCAGACTTCTGGCCTCTAGAATTATTAAAAAAATAAGTTGTGATGTAATAGGAAACTAATACTTGCCTATGGGAAACCGCAGCAGGAGATCAAAGGGAGGGAGGGAAGAAAGTCAAGTCATTCATATCAGGCTGGTTGTATCCCTCATCTCACAGTCACTGCTCCTTTCAAGGTGGCCTTCTCTACTCCTTCCCAAATTCAGTAACCATGCCCTCCTCCCCTCATGCCTTCTACTGCTACTCTGCTGTTACCAGCCCATATTACTGTGCTATCTTTTTTAATACCCCCTACACCCAAACCTTTGTAAACAATTTTATTTGAAAATAAATTCTTAAATTATCCTACCTTGAGTGTGCTACTGTTTCCTGTTAGAATTGTAGGTGATAAGGGTCAGAGAGGTGGCAAGAAGGCCGGTCCCATAAAGTCTTTTGGACCAAGAAGCCAATGGAAGGTACTGAGCAGAAGAAAAAAATGGTCTTAAGAGGTACAGACAGAAGCAGGCTGTGAAGAAGATATTACATTAATAGGGGAAAGAGATTATAGTGGTTTGGACTAGGGAGATAGTGATGGAGGTAGTGAAGAGTGATCAAATTCTGGCTATACTTTAAAATAGAACTTACAGGACTGGCTAATGGACTGGAAGTGGGATGAGAAAAAGAGCAGTCGAGGATAATTCCAGGCTTCTGAGCACCTAGCTGCCATTTACTGAAAGAATACCATAGGAAGAGCAGGGTAGGAGGCAGTGGTGGAGACATTTAGTAGAGAGGAAATCAAGCATTCATTTTAGTTAGACATGTTGAGTTTACAATGGCTATTAGACATCTTAAGAGAGATTTTAAATAGGTATGAGTCTGAATAAATTTAGTAGTTAAAGCATGAGACTGCATGAGATCAAACACAGAGCCAGTGTAGGAGAAGTGGTTGAGACCAAAGACTGGGTCCTGAGGCAGGCCACAATTTAAAAGCCAGGAAGATGAGAAGGAACGAGCAGATCAAGAAGTAGGAGAACCAAGAGAAATGTCCTTGAAACCAGGTAAGGAAAGTATTTGAAAATAACAGAAATCAACTGATCAAATGATAAGTCAAATAAGAAAAGGGCTCACAGTAATAGCCTTAGAACTTGGCAACACGGTGACTTTGATAGCAGCAGTGTATGCGATGGACTATGTGTACAAGAAGGGACCACAAAGAGCCTAGAGGCAAGAGGGCTGAGGGGAAAACCTAAGAATAATAAGAGCTATTATTTATCAAGCATTAGTTGTGTGCTAGAGTATGTATTTTGCATGTTTTATCTCAGTTCCCTATAACTCTACAAGGTAAGTATTTTTAACTACGTATTAAAGATGAGGAAAATCAGTTTCAAGACTTGCCCAAGTATCATGCCCAGGAGCCATAAAAGAAAATTTGGGTGCCCAATGAAGGAAGGGAAGGGAAGCTTTCAAGCAACACAAAGGAAGCAGAGCAACAAGAAATTGCAACAAAGAAGGATGAGTCAAGGTTTCTAACTTAGCTCTCTAGGAAGATGGTGGCAGCTGTAACAAAAATAGGGGACACAGGAAGAAGAAAAAAGGGATAGGAGATGGTGGTGGACAGTTAAGAATGGAGTAATGATGGTGACTGATGAGATCATTTTTGAACATAGATGACAGTGAGGTATCAATAGTGGCAACCTCCATAATCAGAAGACAATCAAGCATTCAGTTCATATGTAAAATAAAACTAAAAACATGAGTTTTGGCAACAGGTTATTATGTACTTTCCAAGAAAATCTCCCAACACATGAAAGCCAGCCCTCCATCTTACCTGCAATCACCCAGGACTGATACAGAGGGTGCATTGAGAGGCGTCTGATTCGAGCCCTGGAAGGATGACAGTGACTTGAAATTGGCAACTGGAACCTCATGTCCCAACAAGCCATGGTACCACTGCTTGTACCTTAAAGAAAAAAGGAAAAAAAGATTACCATCTAATGATCAAAGTGCATCAAGCTGCATTTATACAAATGAAAAATAGTATTAGCTTTTTATGAATTTATTTGAAAAATGCCTTCGTTACTTAAAAAAAAGTTTTGTTCTCATGAAGCTGTCTCACCATTTTCAAACAATACCCCTTTGGTTGATAAATAACTGAGATATAAAGTGCTTATCATAATGCTACTACTAATAATGTAAATTGAAAATGAATAATTTATTAGTTGCTGACATTGTTATTAATTGCCGAAGGCACCCACAAAAACAGAAGCTATTGAGAAGATACAAAATGAATTTGGTAAGTCAAAATGTTCAGATTGCCTTAAATACCCAAAGATGTTTTACTGGTATTCAATGATCACTTTACCAATCCCAAAGTAGCAGCAGCTTTGTAGCTATCATCAGATTTCAATTGTTTCCATTTGCCCTTCCCTCTTAAACATTCTATAGACAGGTATGTTACATCTTTCTATCCCTGTGCAGTTTATTCACACAAAAGGCAAAAAAAATGCATTCCATATAAACTACATAAAAAGTAATAAAGCAAAGGGCACACACTTAACAGTGTAACAAATATGAGTTAGGGAATCTAGAAAACCTAAATTCAAGCACAGAAGATAACTCTCTGAATAAGCATGCCAACCAAAAAAGAATAAGGTGGTAGTTTCTCAAGCGGCAGGTTCAAAACACCATGAGGGAAAAACGCGAAACTTAAGAAAGGGGCAGATGGGAAAAGGGGAAATGTTGATCAAAGAGTACAAAGTTTCAGTTAGGAGGAATTAGCTTTAGTGATCTACTGCAGAGAATGGTGATTATAATACAGTGTATATTTCAAAGTTGCCAAGAGTAAATTTTAAATGTTTTCATAGCAAATAAGTAGGTAAGGTGATAGATTTGTTAGTTTGATTTAATCATCCCACAATTAATACATGTATCAAAACATCACACACTGTACCCAATAAATATATACAATTGTTTGTCAAAAAAGAAATTTTACAAAAGCAGCAATCCCATTCTTGGGTATATATATGCCTGAGATTAATGGAAATATATGTCCTTACAAAGACTTATTTGCAAATATTTACAGCAGGTTGACTCTGAAAAGCCAAACACTAGAAACAACTCAGCTATCCATCAACTGAGGGATAGAGGGATACACAAATTGTTATCTATAAAATGGAATATCATGCAACAATACATTTTTTAAAATCCTGCTTAAGCAAGCTGGATCACTTGGTTCATCTTTAGCCTTTGGAGACAAGGCAAACAATAAAGTAAGAAACCATTGCTTAGCTCTTCTCTCAACAACAGGCACTGTGACAGATCCTTTTACTTCATTAAATCCTCAAAGCTGCCCTTGAAAGGATTAGCCCCATTTGAAGATGAAGATAGCTGAACCTCAGAGGAGTTAAATAACCTGCCTAAAGCTATTGGAATTTAAACCATGCCTGCCCAAACTTGGATGCTATTTTCCTTAAGTCTGCTGCTTCACTGCCAGAGTAAGAGAATGCCAGCAAATCTGATCACTTAATGATTATAAAGTAAGGAGGCTCATTTAAGAACAAGGACAATGAGGAAACTGTTTTATGCCTTAGGATACTGATTCCACCCTTTCAAACCTGTTTTTTAATGAAAAAAAAATAAAATTGCAAGTTATTTTAACATGACTATGAAAAAAAAAAAAGACGGGAAAAATTACCAATGAACAAAGAGGAAAAAACTGATTTCACAAGACAGCAATTGCAGGCATTAGTGGCATTCAAAACCCAGCCAATGACTTGAAAGTTAGCTTACCAATGCAGAGCCAGCATTGGTGGATGTCCACAGCAAAGGAAGTGATGAGGCCCGACTTTAAATCATGCTTTAAAGTCCACGCATTGCTTGAAGACCTAAGGTCCCAGCCAACCAGAGAGCCATTCACAGTGGCATAGGCAAGAACAGACTGTGCTCCAGAGTTGAAGTGATGCATATCCACAACACAACCGTCCTCCTTCTGATCTAGAATTCTAGAGAAATACACAAAGCACAGACGTTTCCAGTCACTGAAAACATAGCACTAGTCTCCCTTTAAGATGACTTTATATCCTATCCATAGTCAAGAAACCAGAGCTATGTGACTCTATCAAGAAAACGAAAGCCGACACATTAAAAAAATTCCAGATGTAGAGAAGAATTGCAAAAATAGTAGAGTTGCTGTATATCCTTCACTCAAGCTTCCCCTTAGGTAAACAACTTATATAACCATAGAACATTTATCAAAACTAAGAAATTAACCTTGCTATAATACTAGTAATTAGAGTACAGAACGTGTTCTGATTTTATCAGTTTTCCCAATAGTGTCCTTTTACTATTCCAGGATCCAATCCAGGATAATACAGGGCAATATTAAATTTCTTCCAATCTGTGACAGTTCCTCAGTCTTTCATGACCTTGATATTTTTGAAGACTACTGGTTATTTTAGAGAATGTTCCTCAATTTGGGTTTGTTTGATGTTTTCTCATTATTATCCTGAAATTATGCCTTATTGGGAAAGATACCACAGAAGTGATGTGCCCTTCTCAGTGCATCATGTGAGGGAGGACCGGATGTTAGCATGTACAGGTTAATTATCACTTAGCCAAAATGCTCACAACCACAACTGTTTCAGATTTGGGTTTTTTTTTTTTTTTAGCATGAAACATTTGCATATACATAATGAGGTATCTTGGGAATGGGACACAAGTCTAAACATGAAATTCATTTGTTTCATATATACCTTATACACCTAGCCTGATGGTAATTTTGTACAAAATACTTTTGTGCATGAGACAAAGTTTTAACTGCAAACTGTCCCATAAAGTCAGGTGTGGAATTTTTCACTTGTGACATCATATTAGCATTCGAAAACTTACAGTTTTTGGAGCATTTTGGATTTTCAGATTAGAAATGTTTAACCTGAATCACTTATGATGTTAACTTGAATCATGTGAATTAAGCTGGTGTCTGCTAGGATTCTCCATTGTAAACATTTTTTCCCTTTATAATTACTCAATATTTGGCAAAAATACTTTGAGACAATGCAAAAATTCAGTTTCTGCTTTAACTTTGGCCCACTAATTTTAACATCCATTTGAGGGAGCATGCCTGTGGTAAGCTAATGGTGACTTTTTGTTTCCCTCAGTCCTTCTACATTAGTTGACTGGGATTCTTCTGTAAGTTGTCACTTCTTCCCCATAAACTTATTTATTCACTTATTTATACCACTATGGATTCACAGATATTTATTTTATTCTTTGAGTTACAATCTAATACTACAATTATTTATTTTGTTGCCCAAGTTGTTCCAACTTTGCCCACTGGAAGCTCTTTCATGTTAGCTCTTGTGCCCTTTCAATGTACTTTTTTAAATACTTCCTAATTTTTTGACACCACAAGATGCTCCAGGCTTGTTTTATTTTTCCCACACACCTGGAATCAACCAGTTCTAGAAGTACTAGTTCCTTTTATTGAAGAATGGTATTTAGAAACAAAAATCTAAGCCCTATGTGTTCATTGCTACGGCAGTGTGCCTGCTTCTAGTTCCTCTCAATGGCCAGAGCTAAAAGATATATTATGTATACTACTTCAGGCATGTGGACACATCTATATTTCTGCATCTGTTCGTGTGTTTGTATACATGTATATATTTATGCCTATGCATACACAAATATCATGAGTCCATACTGATAATCTCCAACTCCTATCTAGCACCAGAGTTCATTCATCTGTAATACCTTTCTCTAACAGTGACAAACCTGGCTCTCATAACTACAATACATTTACTTATTTGTTCAACCTGAATATATAAACGAAGGGTAAAGTTTCAGAATTGTTAAACCTGAAACTGCTAAAATGAAATTGTTAACCCTGTGAAAAACAACCAACTAGAATACAACGTTTGAGTTGAGTTCCTTTTGTCATTAGCCTCCCAGTGTCAAATTCAAAAACTGTTTTCCAAAGTTACTCCTTTATTCGCCATGCCCTTCAATGTGATTATGTGATTCACTTGTAAAACAGATTAATTTGTCACAGACTGCATTCCATCTTTCCCCTTACATCCTGGTTAACTTTTTAAATTTTACATACATTTAAATTCACTTTTTGTGGTATACAGTTAAGTGGGTTAATTAGCAAAATGCATTTAAGATTCATCAATGTTGTTGCATGAGTCAATAACTCATTCCTTTATAATGCAGATTATTATTCTACTATATAAGTGTACTAGTTTTTTTTTGAAGCTGAGGCATTTTTAAAACTAAAAAGAACATCATAAAACATTGGCCAGTCTCCTTTATTCACACATATCATGCATTCATACAGGCAGTTTTAGTTTTATCTTTTAGATCAGAGGTCAGCAAACATCATCTATAAGGAGTCAGATTGTAAATATTTTAGGCTTTGTGAATCACATACATTCCTGTTGAATATTATTTTTATTTTGCAACCCTTTAAAAATGCAAACATCATTCTTATTTTATGGACCATACTGCAAGCTGTAGTCTGCTAACCCTTGGATAAACACTTGTACTTACAAATATTCTAATTTTGACCATATTTTCCCATTGAGGAGTGATGAAAAAATCCAACTGCCAACTAAAATGTAAAATGGTTCCTTCCACAAATTCTAATTAGTAAGAGCTATCTATGAGAACAGTTGATATAACCAAAACAATCAAAAACTTATGACCTTATGGCAAAGTTTCTTTGAAGCACACACTGTGAGGCAGAGTAAAAGCTAAACATCCTGCCTGTCTCCTTACCTAGGTAGTTAGGTAGTTATCTAGTGTTTGCTTTAAGACAGTAACATTTACAGTGAAAAGTGCCATTGGCTGAGAGACAACCGTGCACTGAATGTGCATGTCTGTCTGCGTGTAGGGCCTGTGGGCTCAGTCATCACACAGTGCACTATGCCAAGTTATTAAATAATTTACATGAAACTCAATAGATATGTTACTATACAGACATCATCTGCGGAAACAGACTTTCTTAAAAATAGGCTGGTATTTGTTATTAAAGGCCATAAAGAATATGTCCTGGACAAAAGCTGCTTAAATCTGTTCAATGAATGTGTGGAAAATCTTTTTAAATGCAAAAAGCAAAACAAAACAAAACAAAAGCCCAGGTGACCCAACAAATATCCCTTTCTGCCTTAAGCTACCTAATGGCCATGGCTTATCATCCACTAAACAACTCCTCATTTTGCTTTCTTCTGTGGGGTCCACCACCTCCACCTGGCCCTTCTTAACCACCTTGCTTCACCTGGCTAACTCACACCTGGTCTTGCCTGTTGTCTTCCCTTTCAAGCTGGCTCCTGTTATCCATGTAAAAATTACCACATTGCACTGAAATTGTCTGTTCACTTGTCTATTTCTTCCACTAGACTGTAGATTCTTAAAGCATAACATATCTTGTCTTTGAAATCTTCAGTGTGTAACACATATTGGTCAAAAATTGTTCTGCTTTGTCTTTAAATATCTTACCTTGTATGCATTTAATCTGCAAGCAACCACAATTTATAAAAAATAAACATTCTTAAATAAAACCACCGCTATTTTGTTTTAAAATGATAAGCAAATCATCTGTCTAAATGCTCTTCTCCATGTCCCCATCAACTTCAGAGATTTTAATGCCAAGCAACAGAATGCTGACATTTGAGTTTTCCTTAATGAAGAACACTCACATTCTCAAAATCAGGCAGAGTTGTGTTTTTAGTAGCTGAGACAGAAGATATAACTGGTAATTTTAGGTTATTCAGACAAATTCTAGACTGGGATGAGCTGCAAGTTCAAAGCTGCCCCTTTGACCTCTTGACAAGTTTGCAGAAGATAAGATACATAGATACCATCTTCTGAGACTAACCACATTTGACAGTTTTGAGCTGGAAGCACATTTTTAAAATTTTATTTATTTATTTATTTATTTTATGGGCTTAAAAAAAGAAGTGCAATGTAAGAGGCCCTTAGTTGATCCCAACTACATTGCAGGGTAGAAAGGAGACTTAAGGTACTGTAGTGCACTAAATACAATGTTTAAGAAAGACAAAAGATAAGATACCTGCTTTGTAGAGGATGGATTTTAGGAGACTTGGGCAGCTTAGAAGCCTCAATTCCAAGAAGCTGGACAGCACCATTATCAGATGCTATGGCTAAATAGTGGGAGCCTTGGCAGAATGTGAGCGTCTTGACTCGTCCTCCAATTCGGCTGTATGTAAGAATAGATCTGAATGAAAGAAAAATAAAATTCATTTATGAACCAATGTCACTGCTAATGTTAAATATCCACATGGCCATTAGCAAGCAAAATTATTACTTTGGGGTCCATTTAATCTCCCTGATCTCAGGACAAAAACAAGAATTTCCTCTCAAAAGAACTGTTACAAAAATTGCCTTTTCTTCCGATATTTTCAAATGGCCATCTGCACACACTTCTCTCTATCATAGACTACCCCTCCTTCTCCTCTTTTTTTTTTTTTTTTTTTCTGAGACAGGGTCTCACTCTGTTGCCAGGCTGGAGTGTAGTGGCCAGTGGTGCGATCACAGCTTACTGCAGCCTCGACCTCCTGGGCTCAAGTGATCCTCCCACCTCAGCTACCCTGGCAGCTGTGACTACAGGCGTGCATCACCATGCCTGGCTAATTTTTTGTAGAGATGGGGTTTCGCCATGTTGCCCAGGCTGGTTTTGAACTCTTTTCTAATGAGAACTCCCATACTTGTGGTCCTGATCCTATCTTCTTCAACTCCTGGAATATCTTAAACCCTCACTCTTATACCCTTCAGTTATTCTATCACACAGCTTGGCACAGAAGGAAAAGCATTGGCTTTGGAATCACGGACTTCTACTACCAACTACTTATATGATGTTGGTCAAGCTACTTAACCAGTTGTATGCCTCAGTTTACTCATCTACAAAACAAGTACTGACCTATTTCCCTAACCGGACCATAGGGAAAATCAGGTAATATGTAAACCATAAAACATTCATAAATGCAAAATTATAATATTCAGTCTCTCCCACACATATGCTGACCTCTCAAGCTGTGTTTTCTACTCTCTTTGAATTCACTGCCAAACTTCTTGAATATATCATCTACACAGGGGACCTCCATTATCACCAACTCCCTCCTCCATTACTCTCCACACAGACTGCAACTTTACGCTTCTAAGGGGCCATACCTCTAAAAGGTCAAAAGCCCCTGAACACCGAACACATTCATCTATCTTGTGTAATTTATTTCACTTTATTATAAAAGTTAATGCATATTAAGTGTACTAAATACAGAAATGTAAAAACATTTATAATACCACCCAGAAACACTTAACATTTTGTTACATATCCTTCAAAAGGTTTTCTATACATATTACAATACATTCACACTTGTTTTTTTTAAAAAAATCTGTAATATTTCATATATTTTATCAGTATCTCTCTCTAGTTTTTTTTTTTTTTTTTTTTTTTCTGAGACAGAGTCTCACTCTGTCACCCAGGCTGGAGTGCAGTGGTGCGATCTGGGCTCACCACAAGCTCTGCCTCCTGGGTTCAGGCCATTCTCCTGACTCAGCCTCCTGAGTAGTTGGGACTACAGGCGCCCACCACCACACCCAGCTAATTTTTTTGTATTTTTAATAGAGGCAGGGTTTCACCATGTTAGCCAGAATGGTCTCGATCTCCCAACCTAGTGATCCGCCTGCCTCAGCCTCCCAAAGTGCTGGGATTACAGGTGTGAGCCACCACACCTGGCCTAGTTGTTTTTCTTAATAACAGCTTTGCTGAAATGATTTTCAAATACCATAGATTTTAAAGTGCATAATTCAATGATTTTTAGTATATTAACAGAATTCTGCAAAGATCACCAGTAATTCCAGGCCATTTTTATTAATTATAAGAAATCAAAAAATAAGCTGTCCTCATACCCATTAGCATTCATTCCTTATTTCCCCCTCTCCCTAGCCTCTGGCAACAACTAATCAACTTTATTTTCTATGAATTTCCCTGTTCTGGACATTTCATATAAATACAGTCATACATTGTGTGGTCTTTTATATCAAGCTTCTTTCACATAACATAATGTCAAAGTTTATGGTGTGGTATGTAATACCTCATTCATTTTTAGGCTTAATATTATTCCACTGTATGGCTACATCACATTTTGCTTATCCATTCATCTGCTGATAAACATGTGAGTCATTTCCACCTTTTGGCTATTATGAATAACGCTGCTATAAATATTTGTGTATAAGTCTTTGTGTGGACAAATGTCTCAAACACAATGCCCACAGGGGCCCCACAGGGGCCCAATCAGTACTGTAAATGAGTAAAGACAGCCAGTGACAAGCAATGGCAGAGATGGGAGTGCCAATATGCTTGGTCTCTCACACACACTTAGGCTTTCTCTCCCCATCTCTTTTAATATTGACATATAATTCACATATCACCAAATTTACCCTTTTAAAGGGGTTTACAAAGTCACCACATTTTACAACTATCACCATTATCTAATTCCAGAACATTTTCAGCATACCCAAAAGAAACCCTGTATCCATTAGCTGTCTCTTCCCAATGCTCCCTTCCCCCAGCACCTGGCAATTACTAATCTACTTTGTGTCTCTATGGATTTATCTATCTGAATACTTAATATAAATGAAATCATACAATATGTGGCCTTTGGATCTGGCTACTTTCACTTAGCATACTGTTTTCAAGGTTTACTCACATTATAGCATGTAGCAGTACTTCATTCCGTTTTATGGCTGGTTTTCAACTGTATAGATATACCACATTTTATCATAATTTCCATTTTTTGGCTATTATGAATAATGCTGCTATGAACATTTGTGTACAGATTTTTGTGTGAACATATGTTTTCAACTGTCTTGGGTATATAGCTAGGAATGGAATCATAGGGTCATATGGTAACTCTATGTCTACCGTTTTGAAAGGCTACCAAACTGTTTTCCAAAGTTACTGCACTGTTTTTACATTCTCACCAGCAATGTATAAAGCTTTCAATTTATCTACATCCTAACACTGGTCACTGCCTTTTTTACTATAGCCATTGTAGTGGGTGTGAAGGAGTATCTCACTGTGGTTTTGATTTACATTTCTCTAGTGACTAAGAAGCATCTTTTCATGCGCTTATTGGTCCTATTTGGAGAAACATCTATTCACATCATTTGCTTTTTAATTGGGTCATTTGTCTTTTTATTGTTGAGTTGTAAGTGTTCTTTATACATTTTAAATAATAGATCTTTATCAGATATATGATATATGTTATTTCTCCCATTCTGTGGATTGTCTTTTCACTTTCTTGATAGAGTCCTTCGAAGCACAAAGGTTTATAACATTGATGAAGTCCCATTTGTCTATTTTTTCCTTTGTTACTTGTGTTTTTCACGTAATTTCTCAGAAATCCTTGCCTAATCCATGGTCATGAAGATTTACATGCCTATGTTTTCTTCTAAGTTTTATGGTTTTAGTTCTTACATTTAGTCTATGATCCATTTTGAATAAGTCTACTGAAATTCATCTTTTTCCATGCGGAAATCCTATAATCCCAGCACTGCTTGTTCTAAAGGCCATTCTTTTCCCAACTGAAATATCCTGACACCTCTGTCAAAAAAAAAATGACCATAAATGTACTTCTGCATGTCAGTTCTATACCATGAATATATGACACAGACATAGACATAGACATGATCTATATGTCTATCCTTATACCCGTACTACACTGTCTTAATTTACTGTAGCTTTGTAGCAAGTTTTGAAATACAGAAGTGTGAGTCCTTCAATTTGGTTCTTTTCTTTCAATATTGTTTTGGTTATTCTGAGTCTCTTGTAATTCTTTATGGATTTTAGGATCAGATCATCGATTTCAGGGAAAAAAAAAAGGCAGCTAGAAATTCCATAGAGATGGCATCGCATCTGTACATCGAGAGATCTGCCATCTTAATGATATTAAGTATTCCACTGCATGAACATGGGGTTTCTTTCTATTCATTTGAGTCTTCTTTAATTTCTTTCAATGATCTTTAGTATTTTTCAGTATACAAATCTTATACTTTCTTGTGTAAAATTTATTCCCAAGTATTTTGTTCATTTTGATACTACTGTAAATGGATGGTTTCTTAAATTCATGTTTGGACTATTCATTGCTACCATAAAGAAATGCAAGTGATTTTTATATATTCATCTTGTATTCTGCAACTTTGTTGAACTTATTAGTTCTAGTAAGTTTTTAAAACAATTATTGTTTAATTATTGCTAATTCTCCATATACATGATCATGCTGGCTACTAACAGAAAGTTTTACTTTCTCCTTTCCAATTTGTATGCCTTCAATTTCTTCTTCTTACCCAAATGTCCTGGCTAGAACCTCCAGTACAGTATTCAAATAAGTGGCAAAAGTGGACATTCTTGTCTAACTCTTCATCTTAGGGGGAAAGCTTTCAATCTTTTAACATTAAGTACAATGTTAGCTGTAGGGTTTTTTGTTGTAGATGGCCTTTATTCATTTTCTATTACTAACTGGTTTGTTGAGTTGGTTATAATCATAAAATGATACTGGACTTTGTCAAATACTTTCTGAGAGTTTGTTGAGATGACCATTTGGTCTTTACCCTTTATTCTATTAATATGGTACATTCATTAATTGATTTTCATGTGTTGAACCAACCTTATATTCCTAAGAAAAATTGTACTTGGTCATGATATTATTTTTTACATGTTGGATTTAGTTTACTATTATTTTGTGGTAGATTTTTACACCTATATTAATTATGGGTATTGGTCTACAGCTTTCTTGTGAACTGTTTATCTGGCTGTGGTATCAGATTGACATCTGCCTCAAAGGATGAGTTAAGAAGTGTTCCCTCATTTATTTTTTGGAAGACTTTTTGAAGAATGGATGTTACATTAGTCTCTTCTTATCCACAGTTTCACTTTCCCTAGTTTCAGTTACCTGTGGTCAACCGCAGTCAGAAAATATTAAATGGAAATTCCAGAATAAACAATTCATAAGTTTTGAACTGTGCACCATTCTGAGTAGTGTGATAAAATCTCACACTGTCCTGTTCCCTCCTGCCCAGGACTTTAATCATTCCTTTATCCAGCTGAAGACATTACCTGCTAGTTGATCAGTCAGTCACTTAGTAGCTGTCCCAGTTATGAGATTGATAATCACAAGAAGGGTGAGTACAGAACAGTAAGACATTTTGAGAGATAGAGACTCTATTCACATAACTTTTATTAAAATATATTATTGTAACTGTTCTATTAGTGTTGTTGATCTCTTACTGTGCCTAATTTATAAACTAAACTTTATCATAGATATGTACACATAACAAAAACCACAGTATACATAAGGTTTGGTACTATCCGAGGTTTGGGACATCCACTAGGGGTCTTGGATTGTCTCTTCCACACATAATGGAGAACTATTGTAATTCTTTAAACCTTTGGTAGAATACACCATAAAGCTATCTCAGCCAGGGCTTTGTGGGAGGTTTTTTGATTACTAATTTCTTTATTATTATAGATCTATTCAGATTTTATATTTCTTCTTTAGTCATTTTCAGCAGCTTGTGTCTTTCTAGGAATTCATCCATTTCACCTAGGTTATCTAATTTGCTGGCATACAATTGTTCATGGTATTCCTTTCATAGTACTCTTTTTTTATTTCTGTCAAGTCAGTAGTAATGTGCCCCCTTCAATTCCTGTTTTTAGTAACTTGAGTCCTCCCTTTTTATTGATCACTATAGTAAAGGTGTGCCAATTTTGTTTATCTTTACAAACAACCAATTTCTACTTTTGCTGATTTTTTTTTTTCTATTCTCTATTTCATTTATTTCCTCTTCAGTCTTTATCATTCCTTTCTACTTGCTTTAAGTTTGCTCTTCTTCTAGTTTCTTAAGGTTAGGGTTAAATTACTAATTTGGGATCTTTCTTCTTTTTTAATATAAATGTTTACAGTGATAAATTTCCCTTTTAGTACTCCTCTAGATGCATTATCCAAGTTTTAGTATGCTGTTCCCATTTTTATTCATCTCAAAGTATTTTCTAATTTCCCTTTGAAACGCTGGGTATTTAGCCATATGTTGTTTAATCTCCATGTATTTCAGAATTTCCTAACTTCCCTTCTGTTACTGATACCTAGTTTCATTCCAATTTGGTTAACAAACATACTTCATATGCTTTCAATCCTTTTAAACTTATTGAGGTTTGTTTTGTGACCTAATATATGGTTAAATATAGAAAAGATTACATGTACACTTAAGGAAGATTTAAATTCTGCTGTTCCTGAGTGGAGTATTCTACTGATACCTGTTAAATCTGGTTGGTTTGTAGTGTTGCTCACATTTTCTATTTCTTTGCTGATCTTATGCTTAGTTGTTCTATCCATCTTGAAAATAAGCTATTAAAGGCTCCCACTATTATAACTGAATTATCTATTTTTCCCTTCAATTCTATCGGTTTTTGCTTAGTGTGTTTTTGGGGCTCTGCTGTTAAGTATGTTTGTAATTGTTATGTCTTCCTGATGAACTGATCCTTTTACCATTATAAAATCTCCTTGGTTGTCTCTAGGAGTAATTTTTGCCTTAAAGTTTATGTTCTATCTGACATTGGCCACTCCAGCTTTTTTTTTTTTTTTTTTTTTTTTTGAGACGGAGTCTTGCTCTGTCACCCAAGCTGCAGTGCAGTGGCAAATCTCAGCTCAGTGCAACCCCCACCTCCCGGGTTCAAGCAGTTCTCCCACCTCAGCCTCCCGAGTAGCTGGGACTACAGGCGTGTGCCACCACGCCTGGCAAAATTTTTTTGTATTTTTAGTAGAGTCATGGTTTTGCCATGTTGGCCAGGCTAGTCTCGAACTCCTGATCTCAGGTGATCCACCGCCTCAGCCTCCCAAAGTGCTTGGGATTACAGGCATGAGCCACTGCGCATGGCCTAGCTCTTTCTTAGGTACTATTTGCATGGTTTATCTTTTCAATTCTTTTACTTTCAGTCTATTTATGTCTTTAAATCTAAAGTGTGTCTATCATACATAGCATACAGTTGGATCATGTTTTTTCACCCCTTCTACCAACTCTGCCTTGTGATTACATTTATAAGTTGTGATTGCTCTGAGAATACAATGAACACCTTAAAATAATCAAATTAATACCAACTTAATTTCAGTAATACATAAAAACTTTGCTCTAATATGTCTCTTCCCTCCTCCCTCATATGTATAACTATTGTCATACAAATTACATATCTACATGTCATAAGCCCATTGACACAGTCTTCTAATTATCTCTTCATGCAGTCATCTTTCAAAATCAGATAGCAGGTAAAAAGAGTTACAAACAAAAATAATTTGTACTTTTATATTTACTTATGTTATCTTTACTGGTGCTCTTCATCTCTTTATATGGATTGAAGTTACTGTATCATATTCTTTCATTTCAGCATAAAGGACTCCCTTTAGTATTTCTTTTAGGGAAAATCTGCTGGCAATAAATTCCCTCTTTTTATTTATCTTGAAATTCTTAATTTCTCCTTGGTTTCTGAAGGACAATTTTACTGCCACAGAATTATTGGTTGACAGTCTTTTCCTTTCAACACACTGACTTCTGGCCTCTATCATTTCTGACTTAAAAATCAACTGTTAATTTTATAGAACATCCCTTGTATGTGATGAGTCACTTTTCTCTCTCTGCTTTCAAAATTCTGTCTTTGTCTTCCAACAGTTTATGATGTGTCCAGGTATGGCTCCCTTGATTTTGTCCTATTTAGAATTCATTGAATTCTTGGGTGTGCAGATTAATGTTTTCCATCAAACATGAAAAGTTCTCAGCCATTATTTCTTCAAATATTCTTTCTGTCCCCTTTTCTCTCTCCTCTCCTACTGGAACTTTTATTATGCATGTGTGAGAATGCTTGATAGTGCACCACAGGTCTCTAAGGCTCTATTCATTTTTCTTTATTCTTTTCTTCTTTGTACCTCTGACTGGATAATACCAACCATCTTCAAATTCTCTGATTTTTTGCTCTTATCAGTGGAAATCTGCTATTGAAGTTCTCCAGCAAATTTTCTGTTATTATACTTTTCAGTTCCAGAATTTCTATTTTATGATTTCTATCTCTTTATTGATATTGTCTATTTGGTTAGACACTGTTCTCATACTTTCCTTTAAATATTTAGACATGGTTTTAGTTCTTTGCACATATTTTTAATAGCTGATTTAAAATCTATGTCTAGTAAGGTTTTTTCCTAGGTATAAGCCATCCTTACTTGTTTCTTTGCCTAACTTGTAATCTTTTGTTCAAAACTGTGCATTCAAAATTAATATAACGTGTCAATTTTGGAAATAAGATTCCAAAGTGTTGCTATTTGTTTAATGACTTTCCTCCACTAATTCTATAAAGTCTGTATTCCTTGTCATATGTGGCCACTGAAGTCTCTGTTCAGTTAGGTAAGTGATCACCTAATAACTGGCAGGTATTTCTTTCAATGCCTTGAACAATTAAGTGAGGGTTTTGTTTGTGTTGTGGCACACCTTCAACACTCCATCAAGCATTTTACATCTCTGCTTTAGCCTTCAGTTCTTGCTTGCACAGAGTCTCAAAGCCAGCCAGACATGAGAATTTGGTCTTTTCAGTTTCTTCCTGGGTATGTGCACAACTCTACACATACATGTGGTCTTATAAGGACCCAAGAATAGATCAAAACTTTTCAAAGGCCCATATGGACATCTCATTACCCAGTTCTTCCTTTTAAGCTTTCTGTCAGCCTGCTGATGCCACCTCAAGATGACTGCTATGTTAAATAAATGGTGCTGATTAGTTTCAACAAGTGCCCTGTGAGTAAGAGTTTTCTCAAAGAACAAGGTATGGGCCAAGTCAAATAAAGATGGGCCCTGAAAACAGAACTTTTCAGCCAGCTGGCACAGAGGTCAAATAGTGACAATTCTCTGGAGATGTGCTTTTGGGGAGCTCCAATGCCATTATGACCCCTCCACTGTCTACTAAGGGGCTAGTTTTCATAACTACCATAGTTGTGAGGCTGTTTTTCCAGACTACCACAGAGCTGGTAAAGGGGGATAAGATTACAGTAAGTTAAGGACGACATGGCTCACTATTCTTACTGAGAGTCAGGTGTTTTTCTTGAATCCACTTTAGATTGCTGAAAGGTGTTAGCTGATTTCCAAAGTTCTCAGAAAATTGACTTTGACAGTCTTTGCCAGTATTCTCATTGCTTTATGGAGGAACAGATTTTTGGAGGTCCTTACTCTGCCATTCCAAAATAGAAACCCCATATGCTTTTCTTAAACCTAATTTTAAAAAACACAATTATCAATGTTTTTCATTGATAACTGCTGCTGAACTTTTAGTTTGCTCCTAATTTTTTGCTATTATAAAGAAAGTCAATCTGAACAGTCTTGAAACTAAATCTGAGTTGATTCTTAGTTACTTCCTTAGGATATGTACATCATAAAGGCTTGTGATACATATATTGTAAAAAAACCTCCAGGAAAGAGGTATCAATTGCATTCCACCAGAGGGCACTATATGAGAGTGCATCAATGGCATTATGAGGTTTTCATGCTAGTAGGGTTTTTGTCTCACTGAGAGAGGCCTACATATTCTTTTCATAAGTTTTCTCTTTCATTGTAGTTTATAATATTAACTTAAATGGTTTCTTCTCTTTCCCTTTCTTGCCCCTCTCTTCCTGTTCCAAAAATTTAACTTCCTAAGATTCAGACATCAGGCTTTTGTTGCCCTTCATATTCCCTTTACTTCATAGCCACTCAAAAACGCTGACTTTCAACACTACCAGTGACTCCAAAACATGTAACCCTAACATTGACAACTTTCTTTTGTACTGCTCATATTGTTTTAAGTTTTCACTGTGATAGAACTCCATTTAGATATTTTACTACCACCCCAATTTCAACGAATACCAAATGCATCCATCTCCCCTAAAATTGAGAAGCTGAATGAGCCAGAAATAAGGTAGCACAAGAAGAAAACATAGAAAATATAATTTAGAATACTATAAACAAATAAGTTGAAAAAGCTGTGCAAAAGTTTAGAAAAACAGCAATTTTTCAAGAACTAGTCCCAAAGAGACAAACTGAAAGTTTAACTCAAATAAGAAAAAAGAAAATGGCAGAGCCAAGATCTAGGTAGTCCAAATCACCAGTCATAATTCAGTAAGAAAATCAGGACTGGGAACTGAATGGTCTGCCAACATCACTCATGGGGGAAACTCCTCTTAGTCAGAATGTACTAGTAACATTTCCTAAGAAAACACATTAGCTTTGCTGTTCTTTCCCTGCCACCAGCTGTTTCCCACTTGGCTCTGGCAATAAGAATTGCTTCCTTCTCCCCTCACCAGTCAATAAAGGCATGTGATAAGGGCGACACACTGCATTTTCTTACCCTCTTTCCCAAGCCAAGGCCCATGGCTGGCCACAAACGAGAGCAGGTGTTACAGCAAAGCAAAAGAGTAACTGCATTCAGAGGAGATCCAGTCTCCTAACCATACAGACTTCCCAAATTCTATAAAGTCAGCTAAATTACCAAAATTTGGGGGATATTATCTGAAATGTGATACCAAAATACCACTGTCTAAAGCATGACACTGGGATACAGAAGGTATGACTGTAATAAAAATCACTTGAGAACTAACAAGCAGGGTTTTTGCAATTTACCATCCTAATAAAGGGGACAATGAATCCAACTGATAATAACAAAGAACCACTTGGAAAACAATTATCTGAAGAGGTACTTAAAATGCTAATTAAAATGCTAAGAATGGGCTGGGTGCGGTGGCTCACACCCGTAAACTCAGCACTTTGGGAGGCTGAGGCGGGCGGATCACTTGAGGTCAGGAGTTCAAGACCAACCTGGCCAACAATGGCAAAACCCCTCTCTGCTAAAAAGACAAAAATTAGCCAGATGTGGTGGCACACGCCTGTAGTCCCAGCTACTTTGGAGGCTGAGGCAGGAGAATCACTTGAACCCAGGAGGCGGTGGTTGCAGTGAGCCAGGATCGTGCCACTGTACTCCATCCTGGGCAACAGAGCGAGACTGTCTCAAAAAAAAAAAAAGGCTAAGAATGGTTAGGAAAAAATCAAAAGAATGGTAGTAGCAGGGGAAGGAAAGAGCAGGGATTTAAAAGAAAGGAATAGAAGGGAACCTCCTGGTATGATGGTCAAATTTTGCATCTTGAGAGGGATTCAGGATACAGTGGTATTATTTGTCAGAACTCATGGAATGGTTCATTTAAGATCTGTGTACTTCATAGCATACAAATTTTATATCAAGAAGAAAAAAGAGCTATAAATATTGAAATCCTGTTAATGATGCGCATGCTGAACTTTTTAGAGGGCACATACTGATGTCTGTATCTTATTTTGAAATCATTAAAAAAAAATGGGGCCAGGTAGTAGCTCACACTTGTATCCCAGCATTTTGGGAGACTTGAGAGGGTAGGATCACTTGAAGTCAGGAGTTCAAGACCAGCCTGGGCAATGTGGCGAGACCCCATTTCTCAAGTAAAAAAAAAAATTTTTTTAATTAGCTGGGTGTGGTGGCATGCGCCTGTAGTCCTAGTTACCTGAGAGGCTGAGGCGGGAGGATTGCTTGAAACCCAGGAGTGCAAGGTTACAGTGAGCTATGATCAGGCCACTGCACTCCAGCCTGGGCAAAAAGAGACCCTGTCTCTAAGAAATAAAATAAAAATAAAAATTTTAAACAATAGATTGATGGGAGGCAGAAAAATGAATAGTTATAAAACAGAGCAAATATAGTAAAATCATTACAAATCTAGGTGGCAAGTACATGGATGTTCACTGTGAAACACTTTCAACTTTGCTTGCATATTTGAATATTTTATAGTAAAATGTTGACCAAAAAAAAATTGCTCCACGGACCTAGGAGTCTTTACTTCTTTTTAAATTATGTTCTGACCAATACAACACAAACAGAGAATGAGGAAAAATACAATAATTAAGAATGGTGTAAAAATATAGAGCTAATCGGCACAAAATCTTAAGTAAATTTTTAAATTATTTTAGTTATCAAAGATATTTTGTTGTTTGATGATTTTGTGGCTAATTATGGTCAATGAACTTATAACAAGAAAAGCACCAGAGATTCTCCACATCTGTTTACACAGATGAGATTCAATTCTGATTTCTAGCAGCTTTCTTTTCAGACCAAACTAGGCAAAGAACAAATAAGAATATGGTAGAACCAATACAGAGAAAGAAAGAAAGAGAGGGAGGACAAACTGCAAATCAGATAGGGACATACTTATAAAGTTGTACAAATCTAAAATATTTATCATAATCACATTTATTAAAATCACATCATGCATATTTAAAGTCTTAGGGATTTGAAGTCATAAATTATATCCTTCTTGTCCGCAGGAGTGTGGCAATGGTACACTATTTGTTTTCCTTACACAGTTAGCCATTCTATAATTTTTTTACTTTTTTCATGATCATATTCCATCTAATCCATTCATTCAGCAAATCTTGTTATATCCAGGATCTGATCATTTCCCACCACCTCATACTGCTACCAAGCGACCAGCTCTTGCCTGATTATTTAATAGTCTTCTAACTGCTTCTGCCCTGCTCCTCTTCAGTCTATTCTCAACATAACAGCCAGAGTAATTCTGTTGACAACTAACTCAGATGACATCTCTCCTCTACTCGGAACTCTTCAAAGGCTCCCCACCTCACTCAGAGTCAAGGTCAAAGTCCTTTACAACAGCCTACAAAGCCATATCTAACTGGCCCCTCTTACTCCTCCACCTCGCTCACTTTGCTCCAGCCACAAAGACCTTTCTGCTGTTCCTCAACCATGCCAAACATGTTTCTTCCTCAGGGCCTTTGAAATGCCTGTTTCCTCTGCCTGGAATGTTTTTCCACAAGATATCCATATGGCTTTCTCTCACTTTTTTCAAGTCCTTCCTCAAATGTCATTTTCCCTGTGAGGCATTCTCTGGTTAATTTATTTAAAATTCTACCCTACCCCACCTCTACTGCATTTCCTAGCTTCCTTTCCTGCTGTATTTTTTACCACAATTTTTTTTAACCATCTAACACATTAGCTGTTTTACTTATACTTTCATTGTCTCTCACTTTCCACTAGAAGGTAAACTCCACAGAAGAAGGATTTTTGTCCATTTATTGTTGCTGTATGCCTGGTACCCAAAACAGTGGTTATTATAGAGTAAACACTCAATAAACATTTGTTGATTTGAATTAATGAACTGATTCATTCCTGAGCATATGGTACCTGGTAGTGGTGGTCTTCCCCTCCATCTTTTGACTGTTCCAGATTTTCACTGTGCCATCATTTGAACATGTTGCAAAAAGTGAGTGTTCATCAGAGACTCTAATTCGATTCACAGCAGATTTATGCTCATGAAGATGGGCAACTAACAGCCCTTTAGGACGCCATCCTAAGGAAAAGCAAAGGAGTGTATCATAAACTGTAGTTTACAAATACAATGTCCCCATCATCCCCTGTTATAATAACCAACAACCAGCTTGAAAACAATCATAAGAACTAAAATATTTGAAAGTACCAATAGTTGCCAATAAAGAGTGGTCTACTGGACCATGACAGATATTATTTACTGAGACATCAATTTGGCAATTAAGTGTTGCTTAAATAGCTTCAGAAAGGCAGCCCCTGGGGCCCTTCTCCAGGATCTGAGAAGGCACAGCAGTTACCTGAAAATGAAGGCACAGGGGTACCTGCTACCTCTGAAATCCCTGAACTACAAAATTTGACATCTTTTCTGTGATTTATTAAATAAAATACGTTACTCTAAGTATAATACACCACTTACAAAGACAGATTCTATCATAAAATACAGCAGTTTATGATCAACTTTTCACTGTTTTTAAAGTTGTGCTGGTATATCACAAAAACCGTTTGAACATTAAACAATTCCAAAATATTTATTTTGATAAGAAAATTTATGCAACTAATGATGCCACTTGCCACTTAATTATACTTTCTAAATCTTTAAATCATTGACCTTTACCAGCATTTTCCCCAAGTCCACATCAGTAGCCCATAGGAATTCACATGATTTGTAAATATCTATATATAAGCACACTATGCATCTTCTCAATTTCAATTTTTATCATTAAAATGTAGACAGAAACTCAAAAAATATTTTTAAACCTACAAATCTAGTATCAAAGACTAACTCTGCTACATTACACTAGGCAAGTCTGTTAAGATAGTTGAGTCAGATTTTCATTTGAAGTATCTCTAAATTGCTTTTAAGTCTTAACAGAATATGGAACTGTTTCCTCAAAATTTTAATGTTGATCATCGTTAAGGCGTAGGGTTAGAGGTGATGTTGTTTTCTTTTTATTTATTTACTTTATTATTTATTTATTTTTTTGAGACAGAGTCTTGCTCTGTCGCCCAGGCTGGAATGCAGTGATATAATCTCAGCTCACTGCAACCTCTACCTCCCAGGTTCAAGCAATTCTCTTGCCTTAGCCTCCGGAGTAGCTGGGATCACAGGCGTGTGCCACCACACCTGGCTAATTTTTATATTTTTCATAGAGATGGGGTGTCACCATGTTAACCAAGCTGGTCTCGAACTCCTGACCTCAAGTGATCCGTCCACCTCAGCCTCCCAAAGTGCTGGGATTACAGGCATGAGCCACCACAACCAGCCTGTTTTCTTTTTAAAAAAAGTACTCATCATTTTCTAAATTTTCTAACTTTTTCTTAAATAATATTAATGAAAGTATGTTAAACCTTCCAGAAATTAAAAGCAGGAATTTGGTCAAAGAAGCCAGACATTCAAGTGAAAAAGTGGCAAGGCATTAAACAGGCAAAACCTAGTACTATAAATGGGGAAAATGAAGCACAGATAGGCTAAATTATTACATGATTGGCCTAAACATGACTTTGCCAGTTGTAAAAAGATCCAACTCCACAAATAATGACAAGATTTCTTACTTACTGCTTCTTCTTCTGGGTTTCCCAAATAACATTTTTGTTCTTACCTCTTTTGTCTGGTAGTTAAGTATTCATTTCCTCTATTAGATTCTAGCCTTAAGCACCTAGACTAGACTACAACTACTTATCAACGGAACTTTTACCAGGTGGTGGTGGTTTACTCTCCCATTCAGCATTTTCCATCATCTGCTTAGCTATTCTCTCAGCATTGCACTGCTCCCGCTTTTGCTGGATGAGTTGCTGAAGTTCAGTTTTACAAGTTGTAATTCGAATCTGATAGGTGGATGGTAAGATTGTACTACTTAAAACCGGTATTACTGGTTTTTTATTTTGGACAGTTGTCACTTCTGGAACCTACAAAACAAATAGAATTCTAACTATTTACGTCGTAAGCAAAGTATATTTGAAGACAGAAGTGTATGCATGTTTTTATCTATAAATTATAACAGCTTTTTGTCCTCATTAATGTACCAATTTTAAAATCGATATAATTACAATTACATTTTTTAGTGAAAACCCAGTTAAAATGAAGTATAACCACAAATGCTACATTTCCATTTTTTATATAAATCCTACATTTTATATATAAAAAAACTGATCAGCATGAAAATAACATTAAACAAAAATTATCATTAAGTGAAAAGAAGAAATGGAATTTCAATTCAATTAATCTGGTTCAATTAATGTTTTTTATTTAAGATATGACTGACTAGGAAAGAGCTGCCTTAAATTACAAACTTATTTCAAATACAGATGCTCCTCGACTTACAATGGCATTACATCCCAAAAAGCAGATCATAAGTTGAAAATATCATTAAGTCAAAAATGCATTTAATACACCCAACTACTGAACATCACAGCTTAGCCTAGCCTACCTTAAACATGCTCAGAACCTTACATTAGCCAACAGTTGGGCAAATTATCTAACACAAAGCCTATTTTATAATAAAGTGTTGAATATCTCATGTAACTTACTGAAATCTGTAGTGAACATGAAAAATGGGATGGCTATATGGGTACCGGAAGTACAGTTTCTAATGAATGAATATCACTTTCACACCATATAAACTCACAAAATCCTAAGTCTAACCATTGTTAAGTCAGGAATGATCTGTACATAAAAAGCATCATGACATTTATCACACGTAGGAAATTTGGGACTTCTTCCCAGAAGTATTTTTGCTATTTTATAGATATGGCTATGTTATACTGGAGGAGGAATAAAAAAGATTTAAAAGGTTCACTGCAGCCTAATTATAATCACAGTTCATAATAATGTCTTCAACCCACAATCTCAGATCACTGTATTGCCAAGTACTCTAAAATGAGATCTTTTTAGTACTTTCAATAACTAGATTTCCTCCTCACCATAAAATTAAAGATAAACCTGTCTTAGAAAGAAATATGACCTCCCTAAAAGACAAGTCACCATATTGATTTTTCCACTACAGTACACAGCCTTTAAACAACCAAAATAGCAGAAGAGCGTTCAAAGACATTAGGAGGACTACTGACTGGGTGACACAGTACCTGTGAAGAAGTTGACAAAGGGACACAAATGCCAGCAGAGGACTCGGAACGAGGAGGTTTCCCAGTCTGAATCACCTCCTGATCACTCCCTTTAGGTAGGGCCTGTGGCATGTTTGGTGGGTCCAGTGACCCAAACATGCTTTTCCATTCTTCATTTACATTTGAGTCTTGTTTTACATGTTTTCTGGCTATGAAAATATATTCAGAATAGTTAGTCTGAAGGTAGCCTTTAAAACCATTATGTGCTTTTATTGCCTTTGGAGGGGACAGTAGAGGAGGCAGGGATAGCAATACACTTCATATTCTATTTGTTCCTTAAGATTTCTAATTTATTCATATTCATGTATCAATTCATTAACTCTCACTTCATTTCTAGGGCAGATGGAACATATGTGCTTCCAATGATGTTAATAATAAGACCTAATTACTTCCTAGTTTCCCAAAGCCAGCTCAATTTCAAGTAACCACTATATCTAGTGAATAGTAAGAAAATAGCATGTTTTAATTTGCATTTATTAAACTATTTACCTTTTCATATATATGCATTCTATTCTATCAGTTGTCTGTTCATATCCTTCAATCTTTCTTTTTTTGGCTTGCTTTCTTATTAATTTGTATGTTTTATATATTATGGATATAAACCATTAAAACTTAAGTTACAAATACTTTTTCTCAAATTTGGCAATTAGAAGTTTATTTTAAATGTAATTCATTAGCTGCCTTCAAAATCTAATGCTAGAATAGAGGAAATTTTAAAGGCATGTAACTGGCAGTGAATATATGTGCAAAAAGGGTATGCACAGGATCTTAAAAAACTTCATATAATCAATGTCAATGTCACAAGAGCTCACAGTTTCAGATCTCAAGACTACAAATGGTTAAGTCTTGTCTGGTCTCTACTCTTGTATTTCATTGTTAATAGCAAGACCTTTCTTTTTAATTCACTGGGCATTACCTACTACTAATGAACTAGAAAACTTGATACCATTTTACACAAACTATTGTTCTTGGGTTGCTGGTTAAAGGGTTAAAAAACAGAATTTCATCTTCAATCATACACCTCCATGGTGACAACGTGATTTTACTGTAAAAGTAGAGCTTTGGAATCAGACCTTGGTTTGTCACATACAGAGCTGTGATTCTGGCAAGTTACTTCCTTAACTGTTAGTTCGCTTCCCTATTTTTCTTCCCCAAAATCTCCCTGCTAAGTAATGGAGTCACTGTATTTGTAAGTTCTTTATCTGTGAAATGGGGCTTTTTATTTTATTATTAATTAGCTAAAAAACAGTCTTATGAAATAACTAACAACAACAAGCTACACACACACAAACAAGCATACTAACCCCGTTTGTCATCTGGTTCTTGTTTGGTTTTAACAAGATCAACTTGTCTCCCAGTTATGCCTAAAGCTGCCAAGTCAATTACACCTTTCTGACTACTATCATGAAGATGGCTCTGGTCCACTATATTGGCCTTTGCTTTATTAGATTTCATCATGAAGTCTTTCAGTGCCAGAAGTTTGTCTTCCTCTTCCTCTGTCATTCCCTAAAACCAAATAAAACCATATGTTCTAGTTTATTTTCACAAATAATAAAAACAAGCCTCAGAATGACTAACAACTGAAGGGACAAATCACCCAATTTAAAACTGAAAAGAGACAGAAGGGTGAAACAACCAAGTCCAAGTGAAAAATAAAGTTAACAATACAGAATGACATGTCACGACTAAGATCTCCCAGAACACTCTATTAGGGCACTTTGTAATTTGTATCATGATTTATATCTTAACTTTCTTCCTAAAGGACAGTATTCACACATAACTCATCTTTGGAATTTCCAAAGAACACAATGTGTGATATCTAGTAGTATTTAAAATACAACTGTTGAATAAATATTTATTATGTGAACAAAACTCTGAATGTACAATATTAAGCAAAAGAAAGTGTACCTACTTCAACTTTGCTCCTGGTTGTGTTGAGAAATTTATATTGAATGAGTATGTAAAGGCATTCTACGATATATAAAATATACCATGCAACTAAGGGATTGATTGGAATGCTGCCTCAACTGCAAATGTGAGCAACAAACCCAGTAGCAATCTAGGATAATGGCTGAAGTCAGACTGCCTAGGTTCAAATTCCAGCCCTAATTACTACTTACTGTATCTGTGCACCTCTATTTAGCTATAAAGATAATTACTGGCACCCATCTTATCAGATTATAGTGAAATTTACATGTTAATCCACCTAAAATAGTGCACTTGAAACGGACAAATACTAAGTAATCAATCTAAATAATTAATTCCTTGGCAACTTAAATATTCTGGTAAATGTGGCAGCTCTGAGTGTCTTTCTTCCCAACCATCCACAGAATCCTCTAGTACATTTTCATCATGTAAAGGAATAAAAAACATTCATTTAATAAAATATCAGTTCTCCTGAGGCCTCAATCTAGAATCCCACTAGAGTTTAGAGTCATATTCACAATTCTCAGGCAGACTATGATAAAACCAACCCTAGGAGGGCACAAAGCTAAAAAACATGAAATAAAATTGCATTAAAGTACAATAATAATAGACATATTCTTGACTAAATCCCAGTGTTAACTTGCAATACTTGGTTTATTTTCATGTCTCCTCCTAAAATTCGCTTTAAATAGACAATAGCTACCTTATAGCTAAAGTAAGAGCTCTCTTTTTGTTAGTCTATGTTTTAGTCCACAAAAGGGAGGGCCACAGTAAGGGCTATAAATAGTAATGAAATACTGATACATGCTACAACATAGGGGGACCTTAAAAACATTAAGATCAGTGAAAGAAGCCAGACACAGAAGGCCACATATTGCATGATTCCATCAATATGAAATGTCCAGATTAAGCAAATCCATAGAGACAGAAAGCAGATTAGTGATTGCCAGGGGCTAAGGGAAAGAAAATAACTGCTAATGGATACAGGGTTTCTTTTCAGGGTGACGAAAATGTTCTGGAATTTAACAGTGGTGATGTTTGCACAACTCTGCAAATGTATTAAAAACCAGCAAGTTGTACACTTTAAGAGTGAATTTTATGGTAGTGAATTGTATCTCAATAAAAAACAAAAAATGTTAGCACTGCACCATGAAAAAACAAATTGACAAGAACATTACAAGAAAGGAAAACTATAGGATAAGGTTGTTCATAAACGCAAATGAAAAAATATCCACTAAAGTGAGCAAACCAAATCCAGTATATATAAAAACATTTTATATATTTATATTGTATTTATTTTCTAAAACTACATTTATATATAGATACAATATGACAAAGCTGTGTTTATTTCAAATATCCAGGGAATAAAGCAAGTTTAAAATATGAAAAATCAATCAACATATTTCAACACATTAACAGAACAGAAAAACCATATAATAATCTCGATAAAAGACATTTGATAAAATTTAACATTCTTCCAATAATCATCTTAGCTCCAGAAAGAGGATTTCCTTAATCTGTTCAAAAGATTGTACAAAAAAAATTAATAGCAAAAATCACATTGAATGGTATAATGTCGAGAGTTTTCCCTCTGATATGAGAAACAAGGATGCCCACTCACACCAACTCCCTTTAATACTATACTAAATATCCTAGTCATTTAAATAAGGCAAGGAAAACAAAGGTATTCAGATTGGAAAAAAATGAATAAAATAGTCACTGTTCACACATGATACAACTGTGAATGTACAAGTTCAAAAGAAAATGTTTAGCAAATTATTATAATTAATAAATTTTATGAGGTTGCCAGATAAAAGGAAATATAAAAATTGTTCCATATACCAGCTACAAACAAAATAATGTTTTAATATGCCAATTGTAATAGCACTCAAAATAATCAAAAGTGACAAGCTGACTTCTATAGGTTCAATGCAATCTCAATCAATACATCAGTAAATTTTTATTGCATAAAGTGACAAGCTGACTTGAAAAAAATCACTTGGAAAATGGAAAATGTGTAAGAATCAAGGATAGCCAAGAAACTCTTGAAAAAGAAAAAAAAATGTTAAGAACCAAGGATAGCCAAGAATATCTTGAAAAGGAAAGAAAAAAAAAAAAACAAGCTGGGAGATGTTTTTTTCTACCAAAGATCAAGCCTAAGTTATGGTAACTAAGAAAGTGCAGTACTAGTGTTAAGTCCATAAACATACCCACAAACTTCAGCTTCTGACCATGATGAAATAACAGGGACCAGACTAGTTTTACCCTTCCACTTTAAACAACTTCAAACTGTACAAAACACACACACACACACGCACGCACACACACACAGACACACACTTTTCAGGCATGGGAAAACAGGCAGACAGGGCTACAATGCCTAAAATATTTAAAACTGAGTCCTATGACTGTCCCAGCAATACTGTCTAGAGAGAGTTGCCAGGCTATGGCAGAAGGAACATAGAGTAAAACAGAGCTGATTTCAAGAGACACATCAGAGTTCAAGAAAGTTACAAAGGCTAACTCTGTGGAGCAGAGAAATGAAGGAGGATCTGCACAGAATGAGAGCTTCAGAGGGCTACAGAAGGGTCTCCTCAAGTCTTTGGCTGAATATGAAACTATGTATGCATAAGGAAACCACCTGAGGCCATAGAAAGAACAACACAAGGTTGGGAACAGTGCAAGACCTCTTAATATACACAAAGCATCATGTTCTGAGTTCTTAGTAGTGGGACTAAAGTGACCAATTAAGGGTTGGTCTGGACCTATCCTAAACCTATCTTAACAAAGCTTAAAAGCAAAGCTTAAAAGGATGAAACTGATTCCAAGTAACTGCACAGCAGAACAAGTCCAACACTGCAAAGCAATTCAACACCCAACATAAAATTCACAATCCACAGAGAAAGAAACTCCCTGGCCGGAGGGCAGGGATTAGATAAAATCTTAACATTGCATTATATATCTTCTTATAGCTTTTGAATTTTAAACCTGTATTTATACTAATCTGTCAAAAAGTGCAAAAATAAAAAATCATTAAAAATGTAACTCATTTTTTAAAGGAGTGAAATCATTTTGTATTATTTATTAGCACCTGATTAAATGGATACAAATAAAACAGGGAGCTATTGTAGATGGATCTAATGAAAACAGCCCTTCCATGAGTCATCTCCTGATTTAAGTTCTACTGAAAATCTGGAGTACAGATTCCAACTCCCATATGGGTAACGTTCCAAAAGTGTATGTTAAGTCTATTAACTGGAACTACTAACATATTTTCCCATAGAAACAATGCTACGCTGGTCTAGAAAGGCCTACTTTACCCATGATGTGTCTCAAGTACAGTCCCGTATAGAAGAGCACTGAAGAACTCTAAGCTAAAAAAAAAAAATTATGTAGAAGTGTTCATATTGCCTGCTTGCAGAAGCTAAAAATATGGTCCTTCGCTCTGTAGCCCTGACATTAGAAACAAGGACTCGCCGGGCGAGGTGGCTCACGCTTGTAATCTCAGCACTTTGGGAGGCCAAGGCGGGCGGATCACCTGAGGTTGGGAGTTCATGACCAGCCTGACCAACATGGAGAAACCCCGTCTCTACTAAAAATACAAAAGTAGCCAGGCCTGGTGGTGCATGCCGGTAATACCAGCTACTCAGGGGGCTGAGACAGAAGAATCGCTTGAAACCGGGAGGCGGAGGTTGTGGTGAGCCGAGATCACACCATTGCATTCTAGCCTGGGCAACAACAAACTCCATCTCAATTAAAAAAAGAAAAAAAAAAAGAAACAAGGACTCAATTCCTATCTCCAAAGCCTCCCCTGGATCCAAGTCTCTACTAGTAATCCTAAGAAACTCAGGTAGCACAGGGACCAAAAAGAAGTGAAGGTAGAGAAAAGGCTTGTAAGGGGCTGGAGCAGATAAACTGCACATGGGCTTCTCCCTAAGTCTGTATAAAACCCAAGCCAGCTTCTGGGTCTTAGCTCTCTGTCCTCTGTTTATTTTACTTTAGAGGCCACACAGCACAGTGTAGGAGTGTAGGCTTTGGAATCAGATAGGTTTAGATTCAAATGCCAACTCTGAAACTTACTGCACTATATGAACATAAGCAAGTTAACTACCTTCCTTGTGTCTCCATTCCCTTATCTATAAAATAGGAATAACACCTGTTGCTCAAATTTGTTTTAAGGATAGTCAAAAATATGGAAATCACAAACTGCTCTGGTAAAGTCATTGCTGGCTTTCAAAAAACCGGAAGCTGGTGTTGTTCTGCTGTTATTTCTGGTAAGAACCTCAGAGTTTCTGGCCTGCTCTCCCTTCTACTAGCAGTGCTTATCTCTTGAACAGAGGATTGTCCCCTAACCTTTAGGAGTCTCCTAAAGCCACTGGCACCAGAAATAACATAAAATGGGGGATTATTTGTTCCTCTTTTTCCACTCAGACAAATGAGGGGATCACTGACAGACCAATGAATATACGAAGCACTAACATTTCAGAGGAATACGGGTCAGGGAGTTTTAGTGATTTTTATCATGGCACCCAGTAACGGGGGCTGGCATTGAAGGAGCAGTAGTGGTAGAAGGGATTACAAGAACCGTAGGAAGCAGGAAGTAGAAAGGCTATGGAAACTGTTCCTTCCCACTCCTTCCTTTTACCCATGGCAGTGTCAAAACCTATACCTTAGCAAGGTAAAAAGAAGAGATGAGGGGCTAGGGTGGCCCCATGAGGTAACTAATGACTGATAAGGAAAAGAAAATGTCAAGATTAAGGTTTGTTTTGTTTTTTCTTGAGATAGAGTCTTGCTCTGTCACCCAGGTTGGAGTGCAATGGCGCGATCTCAGCTCAATGCGACCTCTGCCTCCCAGGTTCAAGCGATTTCCCTGCCTCAGCCTCCCAAGTAACTGGGACCACAGGTGCCCACCACCATGCCCAGCCAATTTTTTGGATTTTTAGTAGAGACAGCGTTTCACCATGTCAGCTAGGCTGGTCTCAAACTCCTGACCTTGTGATCTGCCCGCCTCAGCCTCCCAAAGTGCTGAGATTACAGGCATGAGCCACCGCGCCGGGCCTGGGATGAAGGTTTTTAAATTAATATACAGGATAGGTAGGGGAGACAGAAATAGTCACAACGGCCAAGGCTGAAGAAACACTTAGATTGAGATGATTTTTACTGCACATTGAAATCTCTTTGATAAGGATTACTTACTCAGGAGAAACAACAGAAAAATGTGATTCAGAATCCAATTTTCCACAAATTGCTTTCTAAAATACAAAACATATCTAACGTACAAGCCAAGGTTAAAAGAAAACCCAAAGAAAAAGCTCTCCAGGAATTCAAGTCACATCAAATTAAATTTTTAAAATTTGCATTATGGCTCATAGAGCATATATTCAGCGACTGTATTCTTTATTTTTAACCATTTTTATTCCTATCTTGGCTTCCCTAAGTTCCACATACCCCTCATAAAACAAGATGTACATTTAGATTTAACATTTCTTTTTTTCTTGGCTTCCCAAGGTGGGATTACAGGCATGAGCCAACATGCCTGGCCTAGACTTCATGTATTTATTTTTTAATTAGTTTTTTCTTTAAAAAGCAAAACAGGATACATGTGCAGAATGTGCAGGTTTGTTACATGGATATACGTGTGCTATGGTGGTTTGCTTCACCTACTGACCCATCCTCTAAGTTCCCTCCCCTCACCCCCCACCCCTCAACAGGCACTGGTTTGTGTCGTTTCCCCCTATGTTCATGTGTTCTCACTGTTCGGCTCCCACTTATGAATGAGAACATGCAGTGTTTGGTTTTCTGTTCCTGTGTTTGCTGAGGATGATGGCTTCCAGTTTCATCCATGTCCCTGCAAAGGACATGCTCTCATTCCTTTTTATGGCTGCATAGTGTTCCATGGTGTATATGTACCACATTTTCTCATCCAGTCTATCATTGATGGGCATTTGGGTTGGTTCCATGTCTTTGCTATTGTAAATAGTGCTACAATAAACATATATGTGCATGTGTCTTTATAGTAGAATGATTTATATTCCTTTGGGTATATGTCCAGTAACGGGATTGCTGGGTCAAATGGTATTTCTGGTTCTAGACCCTTGAGGAATCACCATACTGTCTTCCACAACAGTTGAACTAATTTACACTCCCACTGACAGTGTAAAAGTATTCCTATTTCTCCACAGCCTCCCCAGGATCTATTTTTTCCCGACTTTTTTTTTTTTTTTTTTTTTGGAGACAGAGTCTCACTGTCACCCAGGCTGGAGTGCAGCGGTGCGATCTTTGCTCACTGCAACCTCTGCCTCCCAGGTTCAAGCGATTCTCCTGCCTCAGCCTCCCGAGTAGCTGGGATTACAGGCACACAACACTATGTCCGGCTAATTTTTGTATTTTTAGTAGAGATGGGGTTTCACCATGTTGGCCAGTCTGGTCTGGAATTCCTGACCTCGGGTGACCCACCCACCTCGGCCTCCCAAAGTGCTGGGTTTATAGGCCTGAACCACGGCACCCGGCCTGTTTCCTGACTTTTTAATAACTGCCATTCTGACTGGCATGAGATGGTGTCTCATTGTGGTTTTGATTTGCATTTCTCTGATCATGAGTGATGTTAAGCTTTTTTTCATATGTTTGTTGGCTATGGAAATGTCTTTTTTTGAAAAGTGTCTATTCATATCCTTTGCCCACTTTTTGATGGGATTTTTTTTTCTTGTAAATATGTTTAAGTTCCTTGTAAATTCTGGATATTAGATCTTTGTCAGATGGGTAGATTTCAAAAATTTTCTCCCATTCTGTAGGCTGCCTGTTCACTCTGATGATGGTTTCTTTTGCTGTGCAGACCTCTTTAATTAGATCCATTTGTCAATTCTGGCCTTTGTTGCAATTGCTTTTGGCCTTTTTGTCATGAATACAATTCATATTTCTAAAGAGGCATTACCAATGCCAAGTGTAGTAAGATTTTGTTAATTGATTCAAATTCATAGGCTTTTAAGATATACCAGTAAACTGCTGGTCTATTAAACCTAAGATGCATTCTAAATACAAGTTATTTCAGCTGTTTACAAGTATTAATTACAAATTTGGATCGAAATGAACCAGGATTTTTCTATATTGCATCTGTGTTTTGCAATGTTTCTTCCAGCTAAATTTCATTACATTTTTGGTAAAACATAGAACTGAATCAAGACTACTAATTAAATCTAAGGTTGTTTCTACTGTCTTTCCCTCATTTATTTAGCCAGTAATTACAAAAGAAACTTAAGAGGTCTCCCATGATTCCTTATTTAGCTTAACCTGATACCTTATCATCATCTTATTATTATCTTTGTTTAGGAATCAAAAGCAAATGCCTAAGATGTTTGCCAGATTTACTTACTCATTTTTATGATGTAATCTAATCAATCAAAAACATTTTAAAAAACTAAATGGACACTTCAATATTTTTATGAAATTCGCATTTAAATGTAAGACTTTGGAAGGGTGATACAACCTGTGAGAGCAACTTCTTCAGAAGCTGTGCTATGGCAGGATCCTCTGGCGGAGGGCAGTCGGGAAGAGAACCATTTCGTTTCTTCTGACGCATGTGAAGATGTCTGAACAAGCTAGTAATATCTTTAGACCTCAAAGCATAATCAAATATAGAACGACTTACTGGTTCCTTTAAAACACTGAGCAGAACAAGTTTTCTTTCAATCTATATTGGAAAAATAAAAAGGATCAGCCAAAAATATAACATGTACAGTTATTTTCAAATTCAATAAATACAACTTGAGAAAAGTTAACATATTCATTTTCTAAGAAAATAAGATATCAACATCTGTAAGTGTGTAGAAGAAAAAAGAATACTAGTAAAATTTAAAGAGCTAAGGTATCTCTTACTTTTCATTGTAGCGCTAGACCACACGTGTGTCTGTCATTGGAAGACTAATCATCCAACCCAGGAAATTTTAGAAAACAAAAAGAGCCTTTTCTAGATCCCAATATGTCAGACAACGTCCTAGATCTAAAAAGTATGTGCAGTTCACAGGTCTGACAACCAGCAGGTACTGATCCAGAAAAGATGCTCAACAGCCACAGGTCTTCCTTCAGTTATCACATTTTCGTGGTAGATTCAACCACTTCTAAAAAACATTGCTATCTCCATAGTGTTTATAAAATCTTTCCTTTAATTATCCAAAAGGAATACATTCCTTGTCAATGCAAATAAAATGGATGAGTACTGCTAAAAGTAACCAAGAAGATTATCTTCTTTTTTTTCTTTTTTTTTTTCTGTGACTCTAGCAAAAGAACCAAGAGGACTTCCTTTAGATATATTTAACTCCTTGGTGAAGTCAGCCAGTGGAAACCAGCATAAAAAGATATCTTTTGTCTAATCCAAATTGTAGAAAAATAAGATTCATGAAGCAAATGAATAATTAGCCTCTCAACTTCTGATCCTGGCCTTTCAAAATACGAAACAATGACAAAAGAAAAAGTTCAATGAGCAAACTTTTAAATAGAGTAACTATTCAAAAGGAGTAGATATCTCTAGATTTAATTTCCAAGGAAGCATAAACTTTTCTAAAAAGGCATTTTTTTCTGATAGTGCTATCCATCTTTCATGTATATATAAGTTGCTCTTGGGGTAAAAATAAAAAAAAAATCCTACAAACTCTATGAAATAGAATGATAACCTCTAGAAATGAATGAATCTATGAAGAAAAGAAGGTATAACCAAAGCTTCCTAGTTTCCAGAGTTTATCCAAGGCCATTTTCTCCAAAGGGAAGGCACATTGAAATACAAAAGTGGGAGAAAGCCAGAGAGGTGTGTGAATTCCAAATGGAGTTCTGGTAAAAATAGGAACTTTCAGATGTTTTAACAGCTAGAATCGTCCTTCGCCATTTCAATCCATTTAATGCCTATCTTGATAATTTGCTGTCTAGCAAGATGAAGGGTATAAACACTGAAAATCTAGGTGAATAATATTTGCCCTGTACAAACCAAAGACCTAAAGTTTATCACCAAGTACTGCTAAAGGTGGAGCAGAGGTTGTGGGGTTGTTAGAATAAAAAAGAAAAGACATCAAAACAACCAGTTAGCGGTGAAAAACTTAAATTTGAAAAAGACTTTTTCTAATTTATTATAACTGGATGCAATCAGTTATACTTTTTAAAATAAAAAGCAGAGGGCCATCAATATACATTTTTGCTAGACTATATTTCACTTTTAACAGTTGCTTTATAATATTACACAAAAGAAAATATATGAACTACTGTACGCTACATTAGATATAACATGATGTAAAACATAATAATCTTTTGCACTTTTCTGACCTTCAAAGGTGCTTGGTTCATTAACATTAATTAGCTTGAAAGGAATATAAACATGCTATAGCCCAATTTAAATACTTAAAAAATGTTAAGAAAAATAGGACTCTCTAAACATTTTTTTTAAAGAGGCACAGTTTGGAGGAAAGACTGACTCCAACTTGGAACATGTATACCTGTATTATTGGTTGGGTAATATATGGGTCAAGATAAGGCATCAGTTTACAGTAGACATCAGCTGTACTTATTTGACGAGCTACCACTGTGATAAATCCCACGGCACCATAACGTATCCATAAATTGGGATGACACAGGAAGGGGGCTAAAGAGGAAAAGAAAAGGTAGGGATCAAATAAGTTATTTCAAACTATCGGGATAAACAAATTTTTACCTTATAACGTAACTGACAAAAGGATTTTGCCACAGTGTTACTATCAGGAGCCTTCACATACTCAATTACCCTGAAGCATAAACTCAATCAAGTGGACACACTGTTATTATAATATTCTCTTATTATAAATATCACAGCAGTACCACAAAAGAATAAAAACAGTTACCTCATAGCTGAGGACTTAAAATTTATATTTTTTTAGTCAGAAGTAAAATTGTGTGGGCACCTACTCATTTATAACACTGGATTAAAAACTGTTAGAGACATAACAAGTCCCAACAGCATATAGCTAACTATTATTCCCCAACTTGTACCCCCACAGAAGTTCAAGGACATATCCCCTCTACCACCCAAGGGGCAGAGAAATTGGGGAGAATTTACTTCTCCAAGCTACAGCATAAAGATTAAGGGAACAATCTAGCCTATCTGATATTCTTTTTAATGCAGGAGTTTGATCAAATCTAATATATAACTCACAGTTACTTTCACAAGGCAATGATGAATGGAAACAAAAAGGCTGAAAACATGATACCTATTCTTAAAAAGTTTAAAATATAACATTAAACCAGAAAATTAAATGAATGTCTTTTCATACCTTTTAACGATTTTATGTATTAAACATAAAATCAATGATTTCAACTAATCGACATTAGACTAACCTGATTTAGAATAAAATCCAAACTTTTAAAGGCAAGAAAAATTGTATTAGCTCTGAGCATGCAAACACACCAGCATTCAGAGGATATTTCTTTATCTTCTAATATTTATTTAGTGTATATAAGAAATACACATTAATAGAGAAATAGGAATACAATCATAGGCTAATAATACTTATATTAACAGGGGAAGGAGAAAAGATGCGTTCAAAATATCTATCTCCCAAGGTCTCGCATTTCTAATTCTTCTAATTATAAATGAAGAAGATTTTGTTTATTTCATAAATACCCTGCAGCCTCTGATCCATCCAACAAGGGACACTGGGTATTTTCCCTGTGATAAGAGGGAAAATGAGGACTGGAAAAACATTGGTAAACCTCCAGAAAGTAGCTAAACCCATAACGGTTTGACAGGAGTTGGGAACTGTATTATACTGAATTATTTACCCCAATTCTTAACTTCCCTGTATCACACAACCACACTCATTCACTTTGTATACACCTGTAGTATACAAAGGATACTTCTCTGCCCCCTTTCTTTTGGTTTATATCACTTGCTTTGGCCAATGAATATTACGACAAACAGGAATCTGAAATGTGCTATATAGCTGGGTTTGCCCTCTCGTGCTTCTGCCATCACCATGAGAACATGATGTGGGTAGCTACTGCCCCTACAATGAGGGCCCCAGAATGAGACAGATGAATCACAGTCATCACAGACAACCTGGAGATGCAGAACCTGAAGCAGGGCCACCTATACAACCCACAGGTGCATGACGAAAAATTTACTGAAGGATTTACTGAGATTCTGTGGTTGACTGTTCTACAGCATTATTATATCATTAAGTAGCTGCCTGATACAAAGCACCTCAAATACTCAAAACAAGAAGAAGCCTGAATCTAAAGAACTGCCTATGAAATAGCATATTCAATCTTTTCTTCCTTTTTTTTTTGAGACGGAGTTTCGCTCTTATTGCCCAGGCTGGAGTGCAATGGCACGATCTCGACTCATCGCAACCTCCGCCTCCTGGATTCAAGCAACTCTCCCACCCCAGCCTCCCGAGTAGCTAGGATTACAGACATGCGCTGCCAAGCCTGGCTAATTTTGTATTTTTAGTAGAGACGGAGTTTCTCCATGTTGATCAGGCTGGTCTTGAGCTCCTGACCTCAGGTGATCCGCCTGCCTTGGCCTCCCAATCAATCTTTTCTTTGTCTAACACATTCAACTTATCAGAAGACAAATGTGGGGGAAAATATTAATAATAGCTAAGTGGGAAAAGTATAGTTTTTAAAAGGAGTAACAAAGAAATCATAATCACCATCAAAACCACCACCACCATTCTCTTTAAGAGTCACTAGGCAGTGAAAACAATATGGCTGAATAGGACATTTCAGTATTCATCCTCTTGTAGAAAAAAATCTGTTTTAACAACTATCAATGCATGAAAACACCATTACAAAGGAATCCAGGTGAGAGATTACAGCACCTGGGTATAGCAAAATTGAGAAAAGCCCCAATGAAGAGGGCAGGAAGGGTAGTTTCACATAACCCATGTCAACATTCCCCAAAGTCCAGGCAGCCAGCACAGAGCAACAAGAGTGAAACTCCGTCTCTAAATAAATAAATACTAGCCAGGCGTGGTGGCACATGCTTGTGGTCCCAGCTACTCGAGAGGATGAGGCCAGAAGATAGCTTGAGCCAGGGAGATCCAGGCTGCAGTAAGCTGTGATCATGCCACTGCACTCCAGCCTGGGTGACAGAGCAAAACCCTGTGTCTTAAAAAAAAAAAATTAGGCCGGGCGCGGTGGCTCACGCCTGTAATCCCAGCACTTTGGGAGGCTGAGGCGGGCGGATCACGAGGTCAGGAGATCGAGACCATCCTGGCTAACACGGTGAAACCCCGTCTCTACTAAAAATACAAAAAAAATTAGCCGGGCATGGTAGCGGGCGCCTGTAGTCCCAGCTACTTGGGAGGCTGAGGCAGGAGAATGGCGTGAACCTGGGAGGCGGAGCTTGCAGTGAGCCAAGACGGCGCCACTGCAGTCCAGCCTGGGTGAAAGAGCGAGACTCCGTCTCAAAAAAAAAAAAAAAAAATTAAAAATGGAACTACCTGTGATCTTGCAATCCCTCTTTGGGGTATACATCCAAAGGAAATGAAATTAGTATGTTGAAGGGATATCTGCAATCCCATGTTCACTGCAGCATTATTCACAAGAGTCGACATAGGAAATCAATTTAAGTGTCCACTGAATGAATAAAAAAAATGGTGTATATAACAACTAAAATACTACTCAGCACTAAAAAATAAAAATATCCTGTTATTTGCAACAACACAGATGAACCTGGAGAACATTATGCTATGTAAAATAAGCCAGAAACAGAAAGACAGATACTGTTATGATCGAACTAATACATATTATCTAAAAAAGTTGAACTCTTAGAAGTAGAGAGTAGAATGGTGGTTACCAGGGGCTGGGGTAGAAGGGAGGGTGGAATGGGCAGGTGTTAGTCAAAGGATACAAAAATTCAGTTAGACAAGATGAATAAGTTCTTGTACAGTATGTGCAAGTACAGCATGGTGATTATAATTAATAATAATGTATACTGGAAAATCACTAGGGTGTAACTCTTAAATGTTCTTACCACTAAAGAAAAAGAACTATGGATATGTCAATTAACTTGATTGCCATAATTACTTCACAAAGTATATATATATATCAAAATATCATGTTGAACATAATATACTATCTTTATTTGTTGATTATACCTCAATAAAGCTGGGGAAAAAAAAATCACTACAACAGAATACACATAGTTTAAAAACAGAATGAGAGAGATGTATATAGTCTATCATTTGTTTTAAATAAGTAGGTGTTTCTAAGTTACTAAAATTGTTTTTTACTTTTAAACAGTTTTAAATGCCAAGAAATGACTGTTTACTTGATTTTTCTTGGTAACGTGTTTTTTTCTCCCCATAGTTTTCATATCAAATTCAGTTGTAGTTCTAAGGGAGTTATCCATTGAAGAAGTAGTACCACACTGGGTTTATTCTGTATATAAACATAATTTATTTTGACACTAAAGATATATGAGCACTCCATATATTCATCCTGGGATCAAAGACTAGAAATAGCAAGGTCCAGAAAAATCTCCACAAACTTTGAGTGCAGGGGTAAAAAACTATTTTCATGATGATTTTTGCTTTAAAATTGATGGGCATCTGTTTTGTAGATAAATAAAATGCTAATTACAAGCTATATTAAATTTCAAAAATAATTTCCAAAAATTATTTTGAAATAACTAATTAGGCCACAGAAGCAATGTATTATGTGAAATTATAATAGAATAAACATATTATTCAAGTCTACGAATTCTTAACTGGTAATCAATGCAGTGACAGACCCTTCACATCCAATTTTCAACTTGACTGCTAGTCAAGTGCCCAAAAATAATTTTCATCTTCAGACCAGTCAAGGCTTTACCCACATCATGGTTTTTTTAACAACAAAGTCTCGGCCAGGAGCGGTGGCTCGTGCCTGTAATCCCAGCACTTCGGGAGGCTGGAGCAGGCAGATCATGAGGTCAGGAGTTCAAGACCAGCCTGGCCAACATGGTAAAACCCCGTCTCTACTAAAAATACAAAAAAAAAAAAAAATTAGCCGGGCATGGTGGCAGGTGCCTGTAACCCCAGCTACTCAGGAGGCTGAGGCAGGAGAATGGCTTGAACACAGAGGTGGAGGTTGCAGTGAGCCAAGATCACACACTGTACTCCAGCCTGGGTGACAGAGTGAGAGACTGTCGCAAAAAAAAAAAAAAAAAAAAAAAAAAAAAAAAAAATTAAAAATAAAAAAAAGAAAGCCAAAACAAAAACCAAAGTCTTGCTTTTTGACAAGGGTAACACAGACTTACCAACAGATGAAAACAAAGCAGTACTTCCCAACCAGGCTGGAGGACCCAATGAGTCAGCTTGTCTGTCTCTCACATACATATAAGCATGCACACATACACATACACACATGCACACCCACACAATCAATAGTAGGAACCCCACACAATCAATAGCAGGAACAATAAAGTTGCAATTCTTTATATTACCTAGAAATTTTATAAAGTTCTTCCAATCTCATTCTAATTTTGAGAAACAGAAACTTACCAATATCACTGGCAAATTCGTAAACATGGGGTTTTTGTAGCAGTCCTAACTGGCACATACAAGTAAGGGCATAAAGAGCTTTCACAATGACAAATTCCTCAGCATCACTAAGACCTTGTTGCAGCAGAGGCTTGAGAATTGAGGAGCTTTGCCAGCCAACATAGGCAGCAACACCTGGAAATGAAAAGCAATATTATGTGATTATTCAATACCTAAAAGTACATATATCATTAAGTAAAGCAATAAAATTAAGCAAAAGCCAAACATATTAATCAATTACCTAGGAAAGAACATTGCACTTCCTACCCAGCATGATAAAGTTAAAAAGACCCACAGCAAGGCAAATCATCAGGAAATTCTCGGACACCACAGAAAAGCTAAGATCCTAAGAACTTACAGAAATGAAAATATAGGTCTCCTAAAAAGGAAGAAGAATCAGACTGTAATTATATAATCTTCAGCAACAATGGAGGTTAGAAGACAAGACATAGGCAAGCAAGGCATTAAAAGTTATGAAAAGAATTCTATTTTCAGTCAAACTGTCAATTAAATAAAAAAAAAGTCATTTCAAGACATGTAAGGACTATTAAAAGTTTGCCTCCCATGCAACCCTTTCTAGGAAAGTTTCAACCTAAGAATTCAAGGGCAAAAAAAAGCTAGCAAAGACCTAGAAATCAGTCAGCCCAGATTAGAATTAAAAGCTAATAAATTTCAAGAATGTCATCAAGAAGAAAATGGAATAGATTCTAAGCAACAAATAAAATTAATAAGAAAGAAGCTAGCTATTACGGATATGGTGACAATTTATTACTTTTCTTTCTAAAAGGAAAACAAAGAAATCTAAAATTCCTGAAATTGCTCAAGAAAATCACAGTCCAAATATGAAATTAAAATAAATAGTGTATTTAGTAACTAGAAGAGGGAGTAAAGTAGAATCCACTGGCCTTGCTATAAACATACTCAAATGGTGAGGGGGAGAGTCACTGAATTGGGATTGTGATGAAGCAAATATAATTACAGTATATTACTTGGCTCCACAGTCAATAAAATTTACACATTCATAATCATGTATTTTGTTTTGAAGCTTCATAATCAGTCTATACATAAAAGACTTCATTGTGTTATAGAACAGAATGTATTATTAACTATGACAAAAAAATTGTTGAGAATTCTCAATTCTCAACTAACCAAACAATAAAAAAGAGAGACACAGGTAAAGAGAAAGAAAAGGGGCACTAATCTTGTACTGCAAATCAGAGGTGGAGCACACAAAATAGATTTAATTACTTAAAGTTATTAAAACAACAAACCAAAAACTAAAGCACAGAAAATAGTAGTCAACATCTCAAAAACTGAAAAGAGAAGAAGGATCAAGGCATGTTATGAGTGAATTAAATCTTCATCTGGCACAGAAAAAAATTCAAGAGATAAAGTCCAAAGTTGGTTATTCTAAAAATAGTAATATGAAAATATTATTTAGAGATATGGTAATAATCACCTGAAAACACTAAAATAAAAGCAGAAAGCTGAGTAGTTGCCTCTGGAAATTTCAACTATTGTTTTTCATACATTATACATTTTGATTAAATTTTAAATAATTTCTAAAAGCCTATTTCCTTTATGATTAAAAAATTATGTTATAATTGTTTTCTTTAATAAAAGGAAAAATTCTATCTAAAATTCCAGTGAATTATATTTAGGAACTTTACAAACTGAAATGTACAATGAGCTAAAATAGCTAAAACTATTTTGAAAATGAATGACATCTGAAACTTACCCTATCAGATGATAAAGGTGATTAAAAATATATAATAATGTAAATTGAATATGGCTATGAATATGAGTACAAGAAGAGAAAAATCAATGGAACAGACTAGATAGCCAGAAAACTGACCTTAACAGACAGAAGCATGCAACAGATGATAAAACAGTAAGAAACAAACCAGTAAGAAAAAAAACAAAAAAAATGCTTAATAAATTATGCTGGAAAATCAGTTACATATCTGAGAAGAAAAAGAAAATTTAGTTTTCATCCCACATCACAGACCAAAAATAAAGATCAATTAAACAGTTAAGTGTAAAAACTAAAGCATGAAAAAGAAAAAAAGACAAGCACACAACAGATTATTAATCTAATTCTGGAATGGGAAGAGACTTTACATACAAAAGTAGAAAAAAAAAAATCACAAAGCAAAAAGATCGAGTAAACTGACTTCAGAAAAACTGTCTACAGAAAAGATTCAAAAATCAAGTTAAAGAACTAAGAAACGTGAGCTTAAAATTGATTTAAAAAATTAATGTTCTTAATATGTATATAAAGGCTCGAAAAGAACAAGAAAAGCATAAGTATCAGAAAAAAATAAGCCAAAATAATGAATTTTAAAATTCATAGAATTAGAAATATGAATGCATAATCAACATGAAAAAGTTTTTCAACTTGATAGTTAAGCTAAGAAATATATATCAAAACAAGTTATCATTTTACCCTTCCAACAGGCAAGGACTAAGTAAAGCCTATTTCACACTGGATGGGTGTGCAGCACTTAACGGAGATGGGGATGCAAAATGATATCATCTTTTTGAATAGCTTATAAATGTGTCATGAGTTTTAAAAATAAATTCACATTCTTTAACACAGTAATTAAAATTTTTTTACTTCTATCCTAAGAAAATAATCAGAAACAACTACTTACATACATACGTTGCATATTTATACCAAATATATAGATTATCTATATATGACAGAAAAAAATGAAAATAATTTAAATATCCAAAAGGGTTAAATTTTTGCAAAACTATATAAAGGAATAGTTTAGACCTATCAAATTATGATTTCAAATAAATTTTTAATGATATGAGAAAATGCTTAAAGTATGTTATTAGAAAAAGTTTAAGAAATAATAAAATTTGGAAGTAATATAATATATACATAGCACTTACGCCAGGCACTATTACATATATTAATTCATTCTATCCCCCAACAACCAGTAAGACAGGCACTATTCTTATTTCCATTTTACAGATAGGTAAACTAAGCCACAAAAAAATTAAATGATTTTCCAAGAACCACAACTAGTGACAAAGTGAACACCTGAACCCAACAGTATAGCTCCACAATGCCTGCTCTTAACGATCAGCATATGACAGAAAGGGATAAATGGGATGGAAAGAGAAGAGGAATAGCTATGGGAAAAAACATCAAAGCTTTAACAGACATTGTACATGGGTTGTAGGATTAATGGTCATTTATTTTCTTCTGGTTTCCGTATTTTCCAAATTTTTCTAAGTTTTATTTCCAAAAGTAATATAAGCATATTTATTTTTTATAAATAAAAAATTTATTTTTAAATTAAGACAAACTAATATGTGTTTCAAAGAACACATGAATTGACCAATAGATAGGGGAAGTTTTAAGAACCGACTTTTCCCGAGAAAAGAAATAAATATAACATTATTTGGAAGAAGAAGAGAGCAAGCAAGACAAAAAGATGTAAGAATCAAAGAATACTGTATTCAGGAACTGAGTTAGATGAAGTCCTAGATGGAAGGCTAAGATGCATCTATAAATTAATGCAAAAATAAAAAACAAAAGATGTCTGAAAAGAAAAAAACAGGTACAGTAATTTCCAAAAATAACCGGGAATTTGAAAGTTTTTCAAAGTAGAAAGTACCCTTTCCTCCAAAACATATGATAGCATTTGCAGAAATATCAATCCTGTTGCCACATAGGTTTCTTGCATTTTATTTTTTTAGCAAACAAAAATCAAACAGCAAACCTTTCCTAGATTATTGGGAACCAAAACTTAAAGTCTTTTTTTTTTTTTTGAGACGGAGTCTCGCTCTTTCACCCAGGCCTGACTGCAGTGGCGCAATCTCAGCTCACTGCAAGCTCCGCCTCCTGGGTTCACGCCATTCTCCTGCCTCAGCCCCCCTCCCGCCGCCTCCGAGTACAGGCACCCGCCACCGCGCCCGGCTGATTTTTTGTATTTTTAGTAGAGACGGGGTTTCACCGTGTTAGCCAGGATGGTCTCGATCTCCTAACCTCGTGATCCGCCCGCCTCGGCCTCCCAAAGTGCTGGGATTACAGGCGTGAGCCACGGCGCCCGGCCCTTAAAGTCTTACAGCTTCTGCTGCCTCACAAGAAAGTCTGGACACAGCCAAGCTTTCTATTGTGCAGAATAGTCTTTAAACTTTTCGGGTTAACAGATAAACTGTTACAACTATGTGGGAAATGATATAATAGGGGGTAGTGGATAATCATAATAATATGAATTTAGCATATATTTCATAATTGGCCAAATCTTAAACTGAAAAGATCAGTACATTCAGGGAAAAGGGGATCAGTTATTATTCAAAAGAGAAAAATATTAAATCCTGTATCAAACATGACTTAACCCATGCAAAATACTGTCCACTTCATTTACTTCTAATTCTGAATACAAATGTAATATAAGTCATGCATATAAAACACAAGATGTCTGACTTTAGATATATCTAAAAATCAAGAATTGTAAAATGAAAGAACAGCAAAAAAAAAATGCTGCTTAAATTTTCACAAATTTTCAGTTACACAAAGCCTTTAACTTAATTCTTTCCAACTACATTGATTTTCAACCATGATTATATTTTAACTTATTTTCTGATTCTAAAAGTGATGCATGTTCACTTTTATTAACATGTTTATAAACATATATGATTTCTGTTATTGTTACCTTTACACTACAGCAATCATTCTTTAAGAGGATTTACAACCTACTTATGTCACTTTAACATACTTCATGGTACTTTCCAGGTCATTATTCTGTCTAAATATAGTTAATGACCACACGGTATTCCTTCATACGGATGTAACACAGGTTGATATACCAACCCTTTATTTTAACCAAGCCAAAATACTTACATCATCCAAAAGCAGCATGAAGACAGAAATACTAGGAATTCATTTCATTATTAATGAAATTTGGTAGTATCATCTATCCTTCAGATTGCATGGAAGTATTTGAGAGGATGATTAAAAATCTTAAAGGAATTTAAAAGCAAAAAACATACCAACTATACTATCAAAAAATGCTCCACGTAGATGCCAATCATTCTTATCATTTAGGAAAGTAATCATGTGGGACAACAAAACATCGTTGGCTTTCTGACGTCCAAAGAATACACACAGCCGTGTTATTCCATTTTCCATCAAGGTTTGTTTTACAATATTTTCAGGGTCACTTAGCAAAGTAACAACTTTCTGCTGGACCATTTCATGTAAGGCTTGGAGCTCTAAAAAAAAAAAAAAAAGAAAGAAAGAAAGAAAGAAAAGAAATAGTTAAGAAAAGATCAATTTTTCCCCATACAGATAGTCCCAGTCTTCTTTCTTACTCATCAGAGAGACTGATTACAGAATCCACCGAAGACTTTAATCACCAATTTTTTGCATTATTCAAAGCTCTGAAGGATGGGAAACTGAAATATAAAGTGAAGAATATCCTAACAAGCAGATGCCACAAACATAGTTACTATCTCACTAATCAAATAGTTTCATTTATTAGCTCAAGGAGAAAATTATAGAGAAGCACCAGAAAGGAAATCACATTGCCCCAGTAAGATCCCAGTTAATCAAGGACTTGAAAATAATGGAATAGGATTAGGATATAATATGATGGTACTGAGCAATCCTTTTAGAAAATGTTTTTAAAGGTCAGTTTATTTTAGAAAGCCAGAAAACACACTGCAAGTTCTGTCAAGGCTTTACTTCATCTGGCCACTGTCTTCTCTGGTCTTACCTCTTCTCTTCCTCATCCTCACTTTTTCTCACTTATTTATTTACTTAGCTGCCTGTCTTCTTTTTACTAAAATGTAAGCTCAAGAGCAAGGATCGTTTCTATCGTATTCACCACCATGCTCTAGTGCTTAGGGCAGGCTCCTAATTGCCTGATGCAGAGCTAATCTTTAACAATTATCTGTGAATAAACAGAAGACAGGGGCCACTCTTGGTCCAGCTACTACTGTCAAGGAAAAAGGTAACTGGTCTGACATGCAAAACTATATGCTCACATTAAGAAAAACTTTAGATTCCCTCCCCAAAAATTTTACCATTTAACTTTATTATCTCAACAGGTCCAATTACATGGTTATAGGACAGTATTATTTTCCAAGTAATTCCATAAAAAAAGGCTAGGACTTCCTGATACATCCTCCTATAACTTCAAAATTATTCCACTGTATTCAACTCTAGATAATACATGTTGTCTAAAAATGGTGCCATTCTAACAAGTAACAATTGTAGTTGTTTGCAGCATAAAATTCTAAAAAACTAGATTTCTCTAGTTTTTCACAACTAGAAGCATCTTGGAGAAAATTACATCTATTACTTTACTTCTAAATCTTTTACTCAACAAACATTAAGTAAAAATCTGTAAAGAGTTGTATAACACAAAGAAACCTAAGACAAGGACTTTGACATCAATAAGTTTACCATCATCACATCTGTTCCTTTATGGTTTTTTGTAAATAACAAATAGTATGAAATAAAAACAATTTATGATTGAGGATACTCAGAATATACTCACGTAAGGAGAAAAGGTTTAGCTTCTTTAGCTATGATGTTTCTAATTTTTTCTTTTATGAGAATTATATAATTCAGCCAGCTTTACTGTTCACACAAATCAATTCTGGCTGACAAACAATTGACTTTAGTATCCATGGTGACAAGCTGATTATTTTTGAGCAAGATAACAGTATATGAGGATAGAGAGAATAATTAGACACCAGGGACTCTTCCTATCTAATATATAGATCTGGTATTCCTTCACCTTACATGAAAACTACAAATGATAGTTTTACAAGTTAGCATCAGCAATTCATTCTAAATAACAGGAAATCTGGAAGAGAAAATTATACAACCTGTGTCATAATTTCCATTTGGATGTGTAACCTCATCTATTTCTTCATTATTGGGGTCATTTTCCATATTAAGATTTTTTAACTGTACTAATTCCAGGAATCTCAGAGCTGTTTCTGCCAGCAGAGCTATGTTTTCTATAAAATAAAAAGGAAGAAAATTTATAATTACAATCTTAACTCTCTGTAAAGCTTATTAACTTTTCCTCCCTGTCTTTATACATAAATAATCATAAGCCTATGGGAAAAACAGAACTTTTCAATTTAGCATTTAACTTAATCAGATTTTAGTAACCCAGCTCATAATCTGTAACTGTCTCCAAACCACTAGTCTTATTTTTGAAACACAGCTTAAAAAAATAATAATATAAAAATAATCTAATACCTCATCTACTGAGGACCAAAAAAAAAAAAAAGCCTAATTCTCTGCAGGGACTTACCTTTTAAACAGTATCCTTGACAAGTGAGAGATATTTATTAGACTAACAAAGAAACATCCACATTAAAATAACAGATAAAGCTAAGCTTTGGCATCAGAAAGACCTGGGTTCAAATCTCAACCTTGCCACTTACTAACTTGACCATTTAAGCAATCTGAGACTGTTTCTTCACATATAAATGAAAAGTCACAACTGCCTCAAAGAGAAACCATTGTTAGACTGCTTTACAAGTGATACTCAAGTTCTTAGTGAACCAAAGTGGCAGACTGTTTGCACATTTCTACAGTTGTCTATATCTTCTCCTTTCTCTTTCTGATGACCTACAAAGACTGTCTGATATTCCTCACCACTACAAAATAACTACTTCTAATTTCTGCTGTCACATTTACTATCAATTGTATCTGCTCTTCACTTACACTTTCTTCTCCTACCTTGCCTCCCACTTAACATATGTGTTTCTTAACATATGATCACAACCGGTCAAAGACTGTACTCTTTTCCTTCTTAGCAGTGAATAGCACTGAACGTAAAGTTTAACTACCTTAAACTTAAAATAACCTTACTTTTTCCTTGCTTTCCAACATCTCTGAAATCAAAATGTACCTTATGGCAGTTGAGATCTTTGAGTCAATCAAACACAATTATTCCCTTCATCCTGGGTCCCACTCCCCACCCCTGCTAGGTTCAACAATGCTCTGAATAGAATAAAAATTTACCTCTAAGTAAGCAAGATGTAAATACCCTATAACGCCTGCTCGCCCTAAAAATGGAAAAACTCTGGGCCATATCCTGATAATATGTCAAAATTCTAGATGAATATCCCCACTTTAATGAGCAAATCTTTATTAGGAAAAGTCTCTTACTTTCCTGGGCACCTCTAAAGTCTGAGTAGATCTATGCTTATTTCCCCTTTTAAGTCCATAAACCACAGCACACTTGGAAGTTCACTTTACACAAATCTGTACCAGCATCTATGATATTTAAAAAATACTGTAAAGAAACAAATGTTGATTTTAAACTTTTATAATTACTGACACATGTATTTTAATTATATTTAACCATACACATTCAAATACACTGGCTCTATTTTAAAAGACCGCAAATTAGCCAGGCGTGGTGGCACACACCTATAGTGCTTGGAAGGCTACGTTTGGAGGATGGCTTGAGCCTGGGAAGTCAAAGCTGCAGTGAGCCATGATCTCCCCACTGCATTCCAGCCTGGGTGATCACATACTGGGCCTTGAAGAAATAACAATGCAAGGTGCTGGCACTGACCCTGGGTTATCACGGACTCTCACCATAAAGACCCAGAAGACCAAAGAAAAGCAGGATTGCTTCAAAACCAAGGTGTAGAGCAGGAGCTCTGAGAACTGAGAATTAGACCGGATACATTTGGGTCATGTTATTTAGTCTCTCCTAACCCCAGTTTCCTCACCTGTCATATGAAGGTAATATAACATCTAACGCTCAAGGTTGTTGCAGCTAACCCTTACAACAACCTAGAGCAGATTTTTCAATAAACAGTAGCTATTATTTTTATGTGATAGCTATTAGTAACTGAGTGTCAATATGTTAATATGGCACCTCATCAGAACATGACCCGTTTAACACAATTGAGAACAGATTAAGATACACTGCACCAAAAAGTAGGATCATAAAATTCTGGTAAAGAAGACAGAGCTTGTTTTTAAAACTGATAAACTTTCATTTGATTTGATTTTATCTGGTTCAATTATTTAATTTATATTTGCCAAGTGAGTTACAACTATGCTTTGTTATAAATGATAAACTTTGATGTGTCTTAAGAGAAATCCTGGATTTCTGGGCCTGAAGTTCATACCTGTATGGTTATAGAAACCATAAATAAATAAATAGGCAGAGATAAACATAAATAAAAATATATGTATGAGGAAACATAAAAACACGTAACAATCACCAATCACTTTGTGGGTGTGCCTAGAGATAAGACCAGAGTCCAAAGACCACTTTTCACATGTTTCATTAAAATAATGACAAGCAAATCATAAAATGAATGAACTACATTTCTTTAAAAAAAAAAAAAGACAATATCATTACCACACACGTACTATTTACAAAGACTTCAAAACAGAATCCCTGATTTCTATCAGATTATATTATAGAAATAAATTATATATATTCAGTGATATTATATATATTCAGTGATATTTCTCATGCAGAAATAAGCTTTCAGAATTAATTTGGGGAGCTAGAAACAAGAATCTGTATCACCTGATTTTGAGTGAGACAGGCAAAACAGGTAGGTGTGTATAACACACCCACCTCATCATAAAGAAGATGTATATCCTAAACAGTACAGTAACTGGGAAAACAACCTTAAACTTCAGTAAGTTAGTATGCTAGGTTCTTTCAACATCAAATTATCTAGCAAAATTAATCTTTTTCAGCAGCAATAGATTGTTGTATGCTAAAACTGACAGTCAAATAACCATATTTGTCAGAGAAACTTCATAAAGGCCTAAAGACACTAGATCAGAAGCACATACTTGTAAACATTAGTCTTATTCCAAGTCGAATGTAGTATTCCTAAGAAAACCACAAAATTCCATCACTTGATAATTCTGATCATTTCAAAAGTGAGAGAACACACAAACGTTGATTCCCAGGAACAGAGTAACTAGAAATATTATCAAAATGTACACAAATAGTTCAAAGAGCAAAGTTCATACTTGCAATTCTCAAACAAATCAGAAAAACAAGCAGTATTATAGTCATTAACTTAAAAAATATCTAAGTGGCTAATATTTGGACAATAAACTCTTACCAGCATAGGCTAGTCTAACGATAGTAGCATCATCTTGGGCTAAGTGGGCTATGCCTGGCAGAATGTATTCCGGATAAATATTGATATCATTACGAGGAACCTCTTTGACGAGAGCAAGAACTTTGGTCAACGTCCTCAAGGCTTCAGCCCTCACCCTAGGAACAGAGTCATTGCTGAAATGCAAAAGATATGGAGTAATACGATCCAAAAGGATTTCAACACTTAATCTTGGAGCCAAATGAAGAATCAGTTCCAAAGCAGCTAGTTTGGAATCACAGTATTTAAGGGTCTGTAGGCAGGATGTTATAACAGATACCAAGATAACCAGCCCATTTTCCTTAGGCTCTCCTTCGGCTTTTTCTGGCAGATCATGTCCACAGAGATTGTGAATAATGTTGCCCAAATCCTTCCGTATAACCAGAATACGCTCATCTGCAGAAAGAAACGTTTCCTTGGCAAACTGGGCCATGTAGGGCTGAAGAAAAGTGTAAAATATTTCAGGAAAGGCATTGCCACGCTGCTGTTTTAAGTAATCTTCTGCCTCTAAACGTTTATCTGGCTCACGGTGAATCATCTGAGTTACCTATACCAAGGGAAGAAAAGGAATTAAAATAGATTTGAGAATAGAAAAGTAAACCAGATGAAAGCTACAAAGGCAATTTACATACGATTTAAAGGATCTTTCAGAACCTGACTGCTAAGTGATTTGTGACTCCATCATCCTAGAAAGCAGTAAAAAATTATATACAAATATATTACAGATGGCCCTGACACATAAAGAGGAGGTTATACCATGGCTCAGTATTCCCCATTTATTAAAATAGGGACTAATATATTGCTGTCCACAACTCAAAGATTCTTACAAACTTTTCTAAGTAGGAGATACCACTAAGAATCTGAGGAAAGCAATGGATCTCTTCCAGAGAAAAATGTATACACACAATTTTTGCATTAAAAAACACATACAATTCTGGAAGGAATCACAGAACCCCTAAAATCCATTTACATATCCCGGGTTGAGTTATGGTTCAGAACCTTATTGCCACAAGTGCAAAGGAATCTGTGGTTTAAGTATAGCTCTAGGATCTAATCAGTAGGGGAATCAGTGGCTTAAAGTTTTCAAATAGTGTCAAAGAGATGTTAAATTCTGCAAACACTAGAAATGATACACCTAATTTGAATTTATCCTATGGTTTTCTAGTATCATAGGGAAATAAATATTTTTCAATGCACAGAACATAGTTTAATCTTTCTGGGACACTCATAGGGTATCAGTCATTATTGAAATACAATATCACAAAATGTATTGAGTTATCTGAACTTTCTGTTTACAGTTTAAATAAGAGCTTAGTAGTGAACATGGGGGACTCAAATGTACTAAAAGAAAATGTTAACTAGTTAGAATTGCTTTTAGTTTGGACTAGGCCCTAAAAATTAAACAAATTCACTTCTTTCGCAGTTCAGAAAATGTATGCCCAAAGACATGAAGTTATATAACCAAAGCAACGTAACAAGTATGTGCCATACCCAAAGACAGAACACTACACCAACTCCTCATCCAGTGCACTGTTCAATAAATATGGCCTCAACTGGCTTCCTCTGAAGCACCTTATTTTTTAATATTTGACATACTTAAGAGAAATTAAAATGTATTACATATCTCCCTACATAATTAAAGAATATTCTAAACACACCACAATCTTTTCCATGACTCAGAGTCATCACCACAATATCAGTTACCCTATAACTGACTTAGAAAAGATGCCCTCAAACAATAATGTAGCTATGTGGCTTACGTGATCCCCCACACGACTCCTCACGCCCATTCTGCTATACTAATTTGTGCTTCTGTAGCTGCCTTTCCAGAACTGCCCTCAGCTTCATATATTAATACAAAGCTATTTGCTTCTATATGCAATGGCCCTGTATTGCTGTATTACATTCAAGTTGACATTTCCTGTCCCCTCCATTTCAAATGTCTGTCTTCTTCATTTCTTACTAGCAAGCTCTAGCCAGGACAACCTCTCCAACCCCTAGAAACTACCTTACCTCCTTCCAAATCTGTAAAAAGCACACTGAAGATTATAGTGGGAAAATAGATAATAAATAGATTTTTTTTAAGTCAAATGAGCTCTGTGCCTGAAGGGGAAAAAAACAGTACATTCTTCCCTAACAAAGTAATAACAAAAGGCTGTTTATATTAGTCTATGGTGTTTTACTGCTTGATTCCAAATTTACAACATTCCAGAAATCTGATTAAAGCAAAAGTGGGAACTAGATCCTATTAAAAACTTTATGGCGAATATTTGTAGCATAGTTACCAATTCTCTGATACTGTGATCTTCAATTTTATTTAGCACTTGTTCAGGGAAAAAATGTCCATTTCTATAAGCCAAAAGTTGAGAGAGATCAAATAATGGTACACCTTCTGTAAAAAGCTCAGCTATCACACAACCTGAAAAATAGCAGGTATAATTCTGTTAGAAAAGAGATAAAAAATATCATGCAATATAGATTGAGAACTCAGACAGTTCATAAAACCCAAAATGCAAAACCCCAAAGTAAATGAAATTAAAAATTTTAATGCAACATACAACTACAATCAAGCTGACAGGGAAAATGTCTATTACCCGAACACTGGTTTCTAAAGTATAAAGTCAAAGAAGAGCCATACAATTTTTCTCCCTCTTAAAAAAACTTAAATAATTCCCCCGTTCTGTAATTTAAAATGAATGTATAGGCCAGATGTGGTGGCTCACACCTGTAATCCCAGCACTTTGGGAGGCCAAGGCCAGCAGATCATCTGATGTCAGGAGTTCGAGACCAGCCTGGTCAACATGATGAAAGCCCGTCTCTATCAAAAATACAAAAATTAGCTGGGCATGGTGGCACACACCTGTGGTCCCAGCTACTTGGGAGGCTGAGGCACAAGAATCACTTAAACCCAGGAGATGAGGTAGAGAGAGGCAGAGGCTGCAATGAGCCAAGATCGTGCCATTGCACTCCAGCCTGGATGACAGAGTGAGACTCCATCTCAAAAAAATAAAATAAAATAAAATAAAATGAATGTATATATGTAATATATACAATTTACATAGAGTGATAAAACAAGAAACTTTTTTTTTCAAGTATGGACTTACAGACATTAGATTCATAAGGAATTACTACTACAAAGTCATATCCGACAAATCATTTATTCATCATTAAACAGAAAGTTTATGCCCTAGGCACAAGCAGTACATAAAGCAGATAAAATCCTTGCCCTCATGAAGCTTTCATTCTAGGAAGGAAGACAGAAAATAAAGCAGTGAACAAACATAATATGTGAAATGCTAAAAAGTGTAGCTGTAAGATTAGGGAGAGGAAAAGAGAGATAACTCTCGTTTTGCACTTATATAATCTTCAAACCAGAAATTTTGTAAGTATCCACATTTCCAAAAGGACAACACAGTTTAACTGAAATCATTACATGACAGGCATTTAACAAGTCTAAAGAGATCCTTAAATAACCTCACCTCACAGCCTGTGCATTTGCTACTCCCTCTACCTAGAATGCTATTCCCCCAAGGATCCATGTGGCTTATACCTCCACCTCCTTCAGATCTTCAGGTGCTCAAATGTCACTCAGCAGTAATGCCTTTCTTGATTGCCGGTTTAAAACTGCAGGCCCCACTACCACAACTACCGCCACACCCCTCACCGGACACATTCCCTTTTCCCTTTCCTTACTGTTTTTCCCCCATAGCAACAACTTCCAGGTTATATTTTATGTACAGATGCTGCTCTATTTACAATGGGGTTAGATCCCAATAAATCAACGAAAAGTTAAAAATATTGAACGGTGGCTCATGCCTGTAATCCCACCACTTTGGGAGGCCAAGGCAGGTAGATCACTTGAGGTCAGGAGTTCGAGACCAGCCTGGCCAACACAGTGAAACCCTATCTCTACTGAAAATACAAAAAATAGCCGGGTGTGGTGGTGCACGTTTGTAATTCCAGCTACTTGGGAGGCTGAGACAGGAAAATCGCTTGAACCTGGGAGGCAGAGTTTGCAGTAAGCAGAGATCGGGCCACTACACTCCAGCCTGGGCAACAGAGCCAGACTCTGTCTCAAAAAAAGAAAAGAGAAAGAAAAAGAAATGGATTTAATACATCTAACCTGCTGAATTTTCCAGCTTAGCTTACCTTAAACATGATCAGAACACTTCCATTAGCCTACATTTGGGCAAACACATCTAACTCAAAGCCTATTTCACAATAAAGTGATTCATCTCACGTAATTTATTGAATACTGAACTGAAAGTGAAAAACAGAATGATTGTATGGGTGCTCCAAATACATTTCAACTGAATGTGTATCACTTTTGCACCATGGTAAAATCAAAAAATCATAAGCTGAACCATTGCAAAGTGGGGACAGTCTCTATGTTTCTTCTTGTCTACATGCCCACTAGAACGCAATTTACATGAGGAAGGGATTTTTCTATTTTTCTCTATTCATTGAAAAATCTCCAGCAACTAAGTTCCTAACACATAATAAACACTCAATAAATTTGTTAATTTCTCTCTGTATAGTGTCACATTTTAGAATGAAGGACTTCGAAAAACAGCTATTAAAAACACCATAAGCAACAAGGAAACAGAGGACCCGAAAAATACAATTAAAATTAACCAGCTAATGTAAGTAAGTTTCTGAGCAAGTTTAAGGTAGGGTAAGCTATGAAGTTCAATAAGTTAGGTGTATTAAATGCATTTTCTATTTATGATATTTTCAACTTCTAATCAGTTTACTGGGATGTAACTCCGTTGTAAGTTGAGGAACATAAGCACATAAAATATAATCTAGAAGTTGGTGCTGAGGCGAAAAAAACAGTAGGGAAAAACACCAACTGGATCTAACAGATATCGACAGAACACTCCACCCAACAAAAGCAGAGTACAACACACACACACTACATATATTGCCTGGCTTTGTCAGCTGTAAGAGCAAAGTGTCAAAGACAATCTAATGGCAACGAGCACTAGATAGAGGCTTCTAATATAATTCACTACACACTAAAAGAATTAGGCTTCCTTAATGGCTGGTTTGAGCACTAAGGCAGGGTAAGTACGGTATCTTATATCAAAAAGTAAAGAAATGCTTAAAAAAAAAAAAAAAGATGAGGACTGTCACAAGGACACAGGAATCAGCCTGAGAAGGCTCCTTCTCCCACTGGCCAAATCTGAGACAACTGGTGCACCAATATAATTAACAAGGTAATAAATATATACAACTGAAAAAAATTAAGAATTAGTCTATACCAATAATAAATAAATAAATAAATGGGGCAAAACAGAGGATCCTTGAGTACAGCAGAATGCTGAGGTCCTACTGTTGAATGTGGAGGACGTATTTGAGTGGAAAAATCATTTTTGCAACCATCATAACAAAAATTCAATCAGGCAAGAATCATCAATGGATGCCAAATGTCAAGCGATAAACCGTGGTAATGGGCAGGATATTAGCACACCTTTTTTTGTTTGTTTTTTTGTTTTGTTTTGTTTTTTTGAGACGGAGTCTCACTCTTTCACCCAGGCCGGACTGCAGTGGCGCTATCTCAGCTCACTGCAAGCTCCGCCTCCCTGGTTCACGCCATTCTCCTGCCTCAGCCTCCCGAGTAGCTGGGACTACAGGCGCCTGCCACCGCGCCCAGCTAATTTTTTGTATTTTTAGTAGAGACGGGGTTTCACCGTGTTAGCCAAGATGGTCTCGATCTCCTGACCTCGTGATCCACCCATCTTGGCCTCCCAAAGTGCTGGGATTACAGGCGTGAGCGACCGCGCTGGCCTTTTGTTTGTTTTTTGATACAAGGTCTCACTCTGTCACCCAGCCTGGAGTGCAGTGGTGTGATCACAGTTCACTGTAGCCTGGACCTCCTGGGCTCAGGTGATCCTCCCATCTCAGCTTCCCGGGTAGCTGGGACTACAGGTGTACACCACCACGCCCAACTAATTTTTTACATTTTTTGTAGAGACAGGGTTTCACCATATTGTCCAGGCTGGTCTTGAACTCCCAGGCTCAAGAATCTGCCCACCTCAGCCTCCCAAAGTGCTGGGATTACAAGTTTGAGCCACCACACCAAGCATATTTGCACATCTTAAAACTCTTCCCACAGGTTATTAGTTGCAAGGGATTGAAAAAAAATAAAAAACTATAGAGGGGAGACAATTTGGGAAGACTTTGACCAGATGATTAAAATTAACATCACAAACAACCATCATTTGTTTACAGATGTGACCCTGTGAAAATCCATCACCATCTATGCAGTATTCCTACTAAGTTATAACATAAATCTTATCATGAGGAAACATTAGACAAACTCAAAATGAGAAACATCCTATCAAAAAACAAAGGAGTGGGTGACATAGAGAATGCATGTAAAAGCTGGTGAAAACTGAGTAAGGGCTATACTCTAGTTAACAGTAATGCACCTATGGCAACTCCTGATTCTGATATGGTACAACAGTCATAAAAGGTCATCATTGGGGGAAGCTGGGTGAAGGATACATCACTATTCTTGCAACTTCCTTTGATTCTACAATAATTTCAAACTAAAATGTATAAAAATGATTTTGAAAAATTAAGTGGGGGGAGGCATTCTTCAAAAAATGGCAATGTGATAATAACAAAAGAAAAAAAGGCTGTAGAAATATTAAAGGAGGCTAAAGAGATATGACAACTAAATGTAATACCTGAACCCTAAACAAGGTCCTGTCCTGAAACAGGCAAAATGCTATAAGAGACATTATTGGGTCAAATACAAAATTAGAATAAAAAGTGTAATTACTGTATCAATGTTAAAATTACTGCAGCCATTAACTATATTGTGTTTTGTAACAGACTATACCTCATCTTAGAAAACACTGAAGGCCGGGCACAGTGGCTCATACCTGTAATCCCAGCACTCAGGGAGGCCAAGGGGGCGCGGATCACTTGAGGCCAGAAGTTTAAGACCAGCCTGGCCAACATGGAGAAACCCTGTCTCTACTAAAAATACAAAAAAATTAGCCAGGCATGGTGGCACATGCCTGCAATCCCAGCTACTCAGGAGGCAGCAGCATGATACCCAGGAGGTGGAAGTTGCAATGAGCCAAGATCGCGCCACTGCACTCCAGCCTGGGTGACAGAGCAAGACTCTGTCTCAAAAAATAAAAATAAATAAAAAGTAAAAAATACACACTGAAATGTTTCAGGGTAAAGGGCCATAATATATGTAACTTATTTCATAAGGTTAGGGAAAAAATGGGGCGTGAGGAAGAAGAAAACGATACCAATGATACAGCAACCAGGGCAAAATGTTAACAATAGGTGAATCTGGGTAAAGTGTATATGGGTGTTCCTTTGTTCTATTTTTATTTTTGCAAGTTTAAAAGTCTGTAAGTTTTTAAGGCTTTCAAGTTTGAAATTACAGTATTTCCAAATAAAGTCAGAAAAAAACACAGTGACATATGACTATTTATAACTAAATGGAGGTTTTATTGACTGAATTGTGTGTCAAGTGCCCCCTGCCTCCCCTCCTGCAAGTTCATATGTTTAATCTCCATACCTTAGAATCTAAGTGTATTTGTAGGCAGAGCCTTTAAGGAGTTAATTAGGGTTAAAGAGGTAATAAGGGTGTGCCCTTAATCCAATATGACTGGCGTGCTTATAAGAAAGGACACCATGTATGCTCATTCACAGAGAAAAACCCATGAGGACACAGCCAGAAGATGGCTATCTGCAAGCCAAGGAAAGAGGTCTCAGAAGAAACCAACCCTGTTAGCTTGATCTTGGACTTCCAGCCCCCAGAACTGAGAGAAAATAAATCTTGTTTCAGCCACCATCTCTATGGTATTTTGTTATGGCATCCCTAACAAACTAATGCAGCAGTGAATTCATATTTATTTTCTCAAAACTTTTACGATTTTATTCTGAAAGATGTTATTGGGTGGTATTTCCCTGTGGAACAACTTGTTTAAATCGTCACTATCATCACTGAGTCTGTATCATTCAAATCTCAGCTCAAATGTTACCTTCATCAGAGAGGCCTTCCCTGACCATTTTATCTTAAAGTAGTGCCCTACCAGCCTTTTCAATATCATTCTGCTTGGCTATAACACATCACTAACCAAAATTAACTTTCTTATTTACTTGTTTATTCTATCTCTCTCCCCACTAGAATGAAAGCTCCATAATGGCAAAAGCTTAGTCAACTGTATTCCTGGCACCTACGTAACAATGGCTTGCACATAATATGCTCAAATGCATGTCAAAATGAATGAAAGATCTGCAGCACACAAGGCTATGCCTATGTACTGGACCAGAGGCAGAATATATATGGTAAGTCCTCAACGGTATCGATGGGTTCTTGGAAACTGCAACTTTAAGTACAACAACGTACAACAAAACCATTTATTTTCTCACCATTTCATTATAATGAAAACGACATTATTTGATGGACCTGCTTTACACTGTTTCACTTAAAGTAGCAGTTTCCAAGAGCCTATCAAGGACGTCAGGACTCGCTGAACACTTCTCCCAAACCAGCAGCCTGGAACCATGGATATCCATCAAGAGGGGAAAGTAGCACTCAAAACCCAAACATTCAAATCTTAAGAGCACTGGGAAGTGGACAGATGCCACCCACCTCTTTTTCAAAGGAACGGAAGGGCCTACCTTCAGCCAAAACAATGTAAGGCTCTTTGGTCTGGAAAAATAAATGCTGAGTGTGAATTTTGTTGAAGTTTACAAAACTATAATGCACAAAAAAAGGATAAAAATAAGCTTATCAACCACTGAAATTTTAAACCTATGAATGATCCCCTGAAGTTTGAAAGTGACGCAATTCCTAAGCTAAAGGATTACATAACAATTAGTGAGTTTAAAATGTAAAAATGGTTCAAGAAAATTTTAATACACTGATCAACAAAACTGGAACTTTGATGGATTACATTTCTAACCTTGTTATACTGTATTTACAACCTTGAGGCTAACCCTATCTTATCAAAACATCTCTCAGTATTATCTTGGGACACAGATTAGTGAGCTGAATAGACCAACATAGGTGCAATCCTGAATAACATTATTCATTCTGGTAGATGAAATACATTCATTCATCAATTAATTTTCCTAAATAATCTAAAATTTGGCTCAATTTATGTTTTTTGTAATAAACCTACAAGCAAGAAAAAAATTAAGCCAAACCATCACAAAATTTACCAAAAATGGCACCGATGCCAGATTTCTTTTGAAGTCTATCAGAGTACCACTCTCAACACACTTCTTCCTCTCTATCCCACAAATTCTTAAATAATCTGGAATCCATAGCTCAGCTTCATGTGGTCTGTGTATGTGAAATAATATATAGGAATGAATGCATGGTACATTTTTCTGGGGAAGGAGTCCACTGATTTCATTAAATTTTTTAAGGGTATCCAAAAAAGCTTCAGAATCACTTCTGTACAACCTTTCCCTGGCTACAATTACTACCTATTTCCTGATAACTCCCAAATCTCCATCTCTATCCCAGATTTCTATGCCCAAAAATTTATAACCAACTGCTGGGTTAGGTGTGGTAGTTCATGCCTGTAATCCCAATACTTTGGAAACTTGAGGTGGGATGACAGCTTGAGCTCAGGCGTTCAGGAACATTCTGGGCAACACAGTAAAATAGTCTCTACCAAAAATGTTAAAAAAAAAAAAAGTCAACTGGGTGTGGTGGTGCACGCCTGCAGTCCCGGCTACACAAAGAAAGCTGAGGCAAGAGGATCATTGGAGTTGGAGGCTGAAGTGAGCTACAATTGCACCACTGGGCACCAACCTAGGCAACAATGTGAGATCCTACCTCTAAAAAATAATAATAAATTAAAAATAAATAAAAATATAACCAAATACATGTTGTACATCTTCTCCTGCATACTTGGCAGAAATCTCAAACTTACCATATCTTAAACAGACCTCATCATCTTCCCAACCTAACCTGTTGCTCCTCCTGTGTCTCCCTGTCTCAGGGACCAGCATCACCATCCACTCAGTTTGGTGGGCGAGAGAAGTTCCTGTGACTTCACCTTCCAATGACAGAATCCTAACAATTCTATCTACTAATTATCTCTTAAGCATTACCACTTCTCTCCACTCCTTCCAACTCTGCCACAATCTTAAGCCGGTCACAATCATCTTACCTGGACTGTGGCAGTTTTCTCCTAACTTGTTTTCCTGTCTTCTGTGTAGCTCCCCTGCAAAATTCACTCTCCATGCTCCAGTCAGGCCAGACCCTTTCTGATCTGGCTGAGTTTGGGCCTTGCTTAATTCACACTGTGTTCCAGAAAACACATCAGTGCATCATATTCTGGTCTTTAAGCTTCTGTATAGGCAACATCCTCTGCCTGAAACAAACTACTCTACGAAAGTTAACTCCCAATCAACTTTCAGGTTTCAATGTAAATATCATCTTTCTATTAAAGAGGCCTTTCTTGATCCCACCTCTTGACTCAACACCACCATGAGGACTAATTTAAATATCTATGTGTTCCTATAGCAGCACCCTATGCTTATCACCACCACAGCAATCAACACCGCATTGAAATGTCCTTTTGCAATATCCACGGTCACTTTAAAATGGAAGCATTATGAAAATATATTATCCACCAATATCCCTAGCACTTAGGACAGTGCCTGACACATACAATAAAAGTAGGCAAGCAAATATGTTTATATGTTTGTGTAAATAAACTGCTGTTTGCATTTCCTAGGCATTTAAACATATCCAATGCAGGAATGCTGCCTCTAACTGAAATAGCGTCTGAGGACAAACCAAGACATTAACTTTTCAATATCTGGTGACTAAAAAAAGCCACATTTCTGTTTAACAGTTAAAAGAAAAACACATGCTCCCTTAGCAAATGTGACCCACTCAAATACCTGCTGAAAAGATGTCCATTGCTCTCTTCAACTCTCCTCTTGTTCTCTGATTGCTATTTAAGTCTACAAGCGGAGTTGAAGGATCTCTCATATATTCTAACTCAGTGGCAAACATCCCACCATCAACAAAACGTTCAGGAGCAATATAGCAAGTTCTCCTCCGTGATGTGTCAAAGAAATAATTGAAATCTGCCGGGTTGTCTTCTGGAAGATAAGTGGGCTTAAAACTGGCAAAATCAGTTAGAAGAACCCAATTCCAACTGGTGACCATCACATTCTCAGTCTTGATGTCCCCATGACGAACTCCAGATTTGTGTGCTTGGTCCACAGCTGTCAGGATCTGGAAAGCAATCCAGCGCTTCTCAATGTTATTCAAGAATGGACGGGTACTGATGCGATCATAGAGATTGTCTCGCACATACTGCCTAAAGAGCATAGCTGCTTTCTCAGATGCTTTTTCTGATGCTTTCTGGAAAGGTAGACAATTCTGTGCAGAATTAAGCCTGATTTTCAGTTCCTCCAGCTCTTGTTTATAGCTGGTTAAAGGCAATGTGGGATCCTGAATTGCAAAAACCTTCACAACGACCAGGCCTTCTCGGTGCTTGGCTCGAGCAACTTTAAAAAACCGAGTACTCCCCAGGCTTTTATCATATTCAAAGTCATGAATATCTGAAAAATAACTCTCTACAGAAAGGATCTGGGAGGGAGCAATGCCAGCAAGCTGATTTCCCATAATGGCAAGCACCTCTGTGGTCTTTAGTAAGGTTAGGATATAATACCTGTTTAAAATAAAAACAAATGAAGAAAAAAGACAAGAAACAAAGAAGCTGTGAAACACCATTATTCCATTATTTGGTCTCTTCCAAAAAGACAGATGCAGCATACTTCTCTTCCACTAACAGCACTGTACCTAGCCTTCTGGGGCAGCCTCTAAATTTCACACACATTTATCTAAAAAGACCATGTTATTTTCTCCAAGAAGACCTTGTTATTTTACCTAAAAATACCCTGCTATTGCGCATCGCCATTTCCAGGAGCTGAACTATATTTAGATAGGCCTCTTCAACTTTAAGCCAAAAATGTTAGTTTGTGTTATTTTCTCATATTTAAATTTAAAATATTAATGAGCCTTTACTATGTGTTCCGTGCTGTGCTTGGGGCTATGAGAATTACAAAGTTACCATATGACATAGTTCTTGTCCAAGAATCTGTAGTTTCTTGGAAATAAGAAAGAGACACATTAAAAGCTTAAAACTGGCCGGGCGCGGTGGCTCACGCCTGTAATCCCAGCACTTCGGGAGGCCGAGGCGGGAGGATCACGAGGTCAGGAGCTCAAGACGGGGCTGGCCAACATGGTTAAAATCCCGTCTCTACTAAAAATACAAAAATTAGCCGGGCGTGGTAGTGGGTGCCTGTAATCCCAGCTACTCGTGAGGCTGACGCAGAATTGCTTGAACCCAGGACGCAGAGGTTGCAGTGAGTGGAGATCCCGCCACCGCACTCCAGCCTGGGTGACAGAGCGAGACTCCGTCCGTCTCAAAAAATAAAAAAAAAAAAAGAAAAACTGAAAACTGAAAAGGTCAAACTAAGATCTAAAAATTCAGTTAACTCCTGGACACTTCCTGCCTAATTCCAGTGTGCCCTCTCACCCAGCTAAAAGAAGGTGCAAACTTCGCTGGTCTGCAACAAGAAACCTTGCCACAGATGTTAAAGAAAAGCAGACCAAAGTATACACTAGCTAAACGTACCCCAGGGTTCTGCTAACTCAGGTTTTGCAGGAAATAAATGCCACACATATACACACACGACCTTGAGCACACATAAACATTTACCCTAGGCCTCGGGAAAGTGTCAAAATCGTTCAGAGGCTCACAACGAGGTCATAGTAGACTACTTCGGGGACGGGACGGGAAAACGCGTCAGCAGCGGGGAAGTTGTTTCTACGAAGGGTCTTTCTTCATAGACAGGAGATGGGCTGTTGGTGGAGGGGCGCAGAAAAGTCCCGATCTTCAGGAACCCCGGTGGTCCTGGGAGGAGAACTGGGAAAGCTCTCGGGGTCTCAGCAGAGAGAAGAAGCCACGCTAAAGAGTCTCCACAAGTACCCCGGGATTTGACCCCTCCAGCCCCCTAACCTGCCCTGGGGGACATGCGTTCCCGGGCCTCGTCTTCCTCTAGCGCGGATCGCTACACCCGTCCGAGCCCTCCTCGAGGGCCTCACCACCGGGCGGGGGGAGATGGAACCCGGGAGAGAAGTGCAGACCGCCAGTCCCAAGAAAACACTACACTTCAGCTGCTGCAGCCCCAGCAAACGCCGAACTCCCGGGAAAGCAACCGGTCTGACCTCACTTCCTGTCGCCGAGCGGAAGTGACGAAAAAGAGTGAGCCTTGAGGAATTGCCAGGGTAGGAAACCGGTTGCTAGGAAACTAGGGAAGGCGTGGTCTTACTTTGGGCGAGTCTACAGGGAGAAAATGATGCTCTGACAAAGATCTATTCCCCTTCCTGCTCTTCTACCTTTCATTCACGAACGCTGAGGTTTCTGACATCCCCTAGAATCTGCTCAGACACGCCTTCACTCCCAGGACAGCAGAACAGAGTTAAGAGAACTCAAGAATATTTAGGAAAACTAATATATCCCAAGCTGGATTTTTAGAGTTCTGGTGAGATATAACTTACATACCATAAAGTTCACCTGCTTAAAATGTACAAAGCAGTAGTTTTTAATACATCTATCGAGTTGTGCAATCATCCCTATAATCTGATTTTAATTTTTTTTTTTTTTTTTTTTTTTTTTTTTTTTTTTTTTTTTTTTTTTGAGGCTGAGTCTCGTTCTGTCGCCCAGGCTGGAGTGCAGTGGAGCGATCTCGGCTTACTGCAACCTCCACCTCCCGGGTTCAAGCGATTCTCCTGCCTCAGCCTCCCGAGTAGCTGAGACTACAGGCGCCCGCCACCACGCCCGGCTAATTTTTTTGTATTTTTAGTAGAGGCGGGGTTTCACCGTGTTAGCCAGGTTGGTCTCGATCTCCTGACCTCGTGATCCGCCTGCCTCAGCCTCCCAAAGTGTTGGGATTACAGGCGTGAGCCGCCGCGCCCGGCCTTTTTTTTTTTCTTTTGGAGACAGTCTGGCTCTGTCACCCAGGCTGGAATGCAGTGGTGCCATCTCGGCTTACTGCAAACTCCACCTCCCGGGTTCAAGCGATTCTCATGCCTCTGCCTCCAGAGTAGCTGGGACCACAGGCACGTGCCACCACGCCCAGCTAGGTTTTTGTTTTTTTTTTTTTTGAGACGGAGTCTCGCTCTTGTCGCCCAGGCTGGAGTGCAGTGGCGCGATCTCGGCTCACTGCAAGCTCCGCCTCCCGGGTTCACGCCATTCTTCTGCCTCAGCCTCCCGAGTAGCTAGGACTATAGGCGCCCGCCACCGCGCCGGGCTAATTTTTTGTATTTTTTTTTTAGTAGAGACGGGGTTTCGCCGTGGTCTCGATCTCCTGACCTCGTGATCCACCCGGCCTCTCAAAGTGCTGGGATTACAGGCGTGAGCCACCGCGCCCGGCCGCTAGTTTTTGTATTGTTTGTAGAGATGGGGTTTCACCATGTTGGCCAGGATGGTCTGGATCTCCTGACCTCAAGTGATCCGCCGCCTCGACCTCCCAAAGTGCTGGGATTACAGGTATGAGCCACCGCGCCCAGCCTGCCTGATTTTAAACATTTTCATTACCCCAAAAGGAAACCCTGAAACCATTCGGAGTCACTCCCTGTTCTCCCCCATTTCTCCTCCCCCTTCCAGCCCTAGGCAATCATTAATCTACTTTCTGTTTGTATACACTTGCCTTTTCTGGACATTTTATATATAATATGTGGTCTTTGTGACTGACTTTCACTTTGGGTAATGTTTTTGAGGATTATCCCTATTGTAGCTTGTATTAGTACTTCATTTATTTGTTGTTGCAAATAATTTTGTTTACCCTTTTGTTAGTTAATAGACATTTGAGTTGTTTTACTTTTACGTTATTATGAATAATGTTCCTATGTTCATAGCATTAGTCTATAAGTCTTTGTGTTGCCATATGTTTTCATTTCTGTTGGATAGATACTGAGGAACGAAATTGTGGGCTCATATGGTAGCTCTATGTTTAACATTTGAGAAACTGCCAAACTGTTTTCCAAAGTGCAGGCACCATTTTACATTCCCATTAGCAATATATGAGGGCTCTAATTTCTCCACATTCTTGCTGACACTGTTATTATCTTCTTTTTTTATTATCCTGGTGGCTGTTAAGTGGTATCTCATTGTTGCTTTAATTTGTATTTCCCTAATAACCAATTCCGTTAAGCATCTTTCTTATTGTGCTTGTTTTCTATTCATATATCTTCTTTGAAGAAATGTTTATGATTTGACTATTTTTTAATTGGTTTATTTGTCTTTTTATTATTGAGTTGTAAGCATTCTTTATATATTCTAGATACAAATCCCTTGTTGGAGATATTATTTGCAAATATTTTCTCTCTGTTGTCTTTTCACTTTTTTGATAGTATTCTTTGAAACACAAAATGTTTTAATCCAAAGCTGAAATCGTTATTATCCCTGCAACATTCCCTCCTCCCTTCTTCTCCATCTCAATATGCAGCACTACTACCCACTGAATTCCTCAAGACTATAAATTTGGAACTCATTAAGTCATCCTTAACATATTCCTACTCTCCCCCTCCTTCCTCACCACACTCATTCCTCCCATTCAGTGATCACTTGCTCTTGCTGATTCTATCCCCAAAATATGCCTTGAACCCATTCACTGCCATCTCAAGGCCTAGGCCAAGCAACCATCATTGTCATGATGTCTACATTTTGAAACCCACACAGAAAAGGCACTCCTCACTCCTGATATTATTTTGTATACTTCTCCCAAAATTTTTTCTGGGTCTTTTACGGTTTCATTTTGTGCTCTCAAATTTCTGAAGTATAGCTACAACTTTATTTTTTTCTAGAGAGTTACTCAGTTATCTAAAAATGTTGAGTAATATATTTCCCCCCACCTAGTTGAAATGTCAAATTTACCATATAACAGATTTCCTATATATATCTGGGTCTTCTGCTGGACTTTCTTTTCTGTCCATTGAGGTACTATTTAATTCATCTACCAGTACTTTTAAAATAATTGTATGATGTTTTAATGTCTGACATGGCTAGTCCTAGAGTAGTCTTTTTTAAATGAAATTATAATCATAAGACATCTATGCCTACATCCTTCTAGAAGCTCCTCCTCATTTTTAGGTTAACATTAAAAATCCATATCTTGGCCCACAAAACCTTGCATGATCTGACCCCTGCCCACCTGCTGCACTGTAGTTGACATTACTCACTGTCCCTCTCAGCTCCCACACTGGCTTTCTCTTTGTTTCTATCCTGTTCTAATTTGTCAAACCTTTTCCTACTGCTCGTCCTTCACATTTACTCTTTATTCTGCTTAGAACACTGTTTCCCCTATTCTTTAGCCAAAATCTTTTTATCCTTCAAGTCCCAGATTAGGTGCCATCACCTCATGCAATTCTTCACTGACTGCCCCCCATTATATACTTTCATGGACCTTCTACTTTTCCTTCACAGTGCTTATTATTATTGAATTCTTTTGAGTTTGAGGGATAACTATTTGCTTATTGTCTGTTTTACCACTAGACCGTAAACTCCACAACAACAGTGATTGTGTGATTCTTACTCACGAGGGTGTCTTCAACACCTAGAACCATACCTAACAGATGATAGACATTCAACTGGTATTTTTTGAATCAATAAATGTGGACTTTGTGAGATTTGTGATCATTAGGGCCAAGGTCAGGAGTCCCAGGACTGGGAACATCTAAAATATATACATAAAATCAGTGGAAGCACTCAGTTAATTACCAGATAATATTTTTTTAAAGAGTAAGCTTATATTTCAGACTCTGAATACCACGTATGTAAGTGCTTTAGATATCTCTCCAATAGAGAAATAATGGCATGGAAATATGGTAAATATGTCTCAATTTAGATTATTTCTGCTTTTCCCAACATGTATTTTTCCCCAACATTACATTTTGTGAAATAACTTGTGGGTTTTTTCAATGCCTTCTATACTCACTACATATGGTTTTCTTTTCTTTTTTTTTCCAATTCTTCGTTTTCTTTTTTCTTCCTTTCCTTCTCATTCTTTCTTCCTTCTTTCGTTTCTTCTATTGTTAAACAGCAATCATGACTGTCCATGGAGAATTATTTAAAGAAATCTCACCTATTTCTTTTCAAAGCAAATAAAAGATAAAATTTACTTGCTGCTGTTGAAGTCAAACTAAGAAAGAGCCAGCAAACACTAGACCATCCTCTAGCCAGTGTCCTTGCAGCTGCATTTTGGCAGTGATGGCTAACTGTCCCCTTCCACAGAAAATAGATGTTTCTGGGAAGTGCCTGAACTATAGGAACCATATTTTTCAGTCCCACGCCACTGTTTGCATCTAAGTGGAGCCATTTTACTAGCTTTCACTATGAAGTTCAGGTGGAAATTTTGTGTTTCATTTCTAGTACACAATAGTTAAGAGGTGAATGATTTCCACTTTCTTTCCTCTTTAACCTGGTTGCAGAAGACTTAAAGGCCCTAGTTAATGCCAGAGCCACAAGATGATAGGAGCCTGTGTCCCCGAATCACAGCCTGGAGAAAGACCCTTGCTTAGCAGGCACACTCACATAGAACTTTTACATACGCAAAAGTATACCCCATTATAAGCCAGCAAAATCTCATAATTTATTAATTATAGCAGTTAGCCTTGCCTTTATAAATACATTCATCTGCCTGATCTCTGTTCATTTCCTCCCTCTCCTGGGCTGCTTACTCCACCAGTGCACTTGCAGTCCTGTGAGATGTCCACGTGAGCTCTGCTATCCTTGCATCCTAAGGGAAAAAATAAGGCAAGGGGGAAGGATCCCTAATGTAAACAGCTCCTTCAAGTTAATAGTAAATATTTTATCTTCTTATACAAGAATGCCAGCTAATACATGCAAAATAAATTATAAGAAATTACCATTTTGTAACCTGCAGTGCAATAATTGATTTCTACATGGATTGTCAATGGGTTCTAAAATCACTGGGTAAAAGTTGTAGAACAACAAGATAGTCTCATGGTACCCAAGGAATACCTACAGATTATTTTCTATGTTAAAAAGGAATGAAAATGAACTTTTTATAGTGGAAAACCTTTTCATAACCCCTTTATCCAAGTGATCAAAGTTAGTATCATTAATAGTAGGACACAGATATTATGAGGCTCCTGATATAATGCAATGGGAAATATATACTGTCACCCAGGAAGCATTCTTGCCAAGAATATTTTTGGTTTTTTTCTTTTCTTTCTTTTTTTTTTTTTTTTTTTTTTTTTTGGACAGTCTTGCTCTGTTGCCCAGGCTGGAGTGCAGTAACATGATCTCAAGCTCACTGTAACTTTTGCCTCCCGGGTTCAAGCAATTATTGTGCCTCAGCCTCCCAAGTAGCTGGGATTACAGGTGCATGCCACCATGCCTGGCTGATTTTTGTATTTTTAGTAGAGATGGGGGTTACACCATGTTGACCAGACTGGTCTTGAACTCCTGATCTCAAGTGATCCACCCACCTCAGCCTCCCAAAGTGCTAGGACTACAGGTGTGAGTCACCTCACCCGGCTGCCAAGAATGTGTAACCTGAATTCAATCAAGCCCCTAGACCTCACTGCTCAATATGATAGCCACTAGTTACATTTGACTATTGAGTTCTTGAAATATGGCTACTACAAATTGAGATGTGCTATTAGTACAGAAAACATACAGATTTTAGAGAACTTAGTACAAAAAAATGAAAAAATCTCAATATATTTTTGATAAGTATTATATGTTGGAATCATATTTTAGATATATTGGGTTAAGGAAATATTTAATTAAAATGAATCTTTCTTTTTACTTTTTTTTTTGAAACGGAGCCTCGCTTTGTCGCCCAGGCTGGAGTGCAGTAGTGGGATCTTGGCTCACTGCAAGCTCCGCTCCTGGGTTCACGCCATTCTCCTGCCTCAGCTGGAGCTACAGGTGCCCGCCACCACACCCGGCTAATTTTTTGTATTTTTAGTAGGGACGGGGTTTCACCATGTTAGCCAGGATAGCCTCGATCTCCTGACCTCATGATCCGCCCACTTTGGCCTCCCAAAGTGCTGGGATTACAGGTGTGAGCCACCGCTCCCGGCCTCTTTTTACTTTTTAAAATGTGATTACTAATTTAAAATTACATATGTGGCTTATGTTATGTTTTTATTAGACAACCCCACTCTAGAACCAATTTCCAGCCTATAAAAAATAAAAGGAATAGAAAAATTAATTTAGCAATACCATCAGGAAACAATCAGACAGATCCAGAAAATGGAATATTAGCCTGGATTCTTCAAAGAGTCAATACCATGAAAAATATGGATGGACTTTTCTAAATTAAAAGATTCTAAAGAGACATGAAATTTAAATGCAATGTGTGAGCTTCAACTGGATCCAGGATTAGAAACAGCTACAAAAAACATTTCATGCATAATTGAAGAAATGTGAATATAGATTGAATATTTCAGAGAGAAACAAAGTGGCAGAAATGTTTTTAAAAGTTGGTAATTATTTCATTGCTATCACTTCTCTGGGTCTTATTTAAAAACACCTAAGCTGCCTGGCCTAAAGCTCTTTCACCATTACATATGAAAAAATTGGCAGACAAAGGATAGGGAGAACTAGATTCCAATTTTCTTGGAATGTATAATCTTGGGTAAAACTGTTCTTGAATAAATGGAAATGAAAGGGCTAACGTTTTTTAAAGAAGATGATTAGTCAAAAAAATCAAAGGATTTCATTGATAATAAGTGTTATGGAGAAAAAGTACAGGGTCCACGAGAATATATAATAAGGGGCAGTCAGGGAAGACATGCCCATGATATGGGCATTTAATCTGGAATGTAAGAGATGAACAGGTTTTGGCTAAATAAAGAACAATGGGAATAGTGTTGTAAGCGAAAGGAAGAGTAAAGGTAAAGGACTAGCAGTGGGGAGAAGTTTGACAAGTTAGGAACAAAGAGTAGGCCACTGTGGGGGATTGAAGGGGCAGTGAGTGAGATGCTGGCTGCAGAGGAGGAGGTGGGCAAACAGAATACATATATCCAAGCCATTCCTCTATCTTCCACTATTATCCACTTCTAATCCTTCACCACTTCTCTTCCACAAAAGATTTGAAGTGATTTTACAAAATTAACTCAAATAAAAGGATGAAAAAATAAATAATAAATATTCATTCAAAAGGAGCAGAGAAATAGTACTTGGAATTAATAAATTAAACTTCAGTTAAATTTGGCCAGGCGTGGTGGCTTATGCCTGTAATCACAGCACTTTGGGAGGCCAAGGTGGGCAGATCACCTGAGGTCAGGAGTTTGAGACCAGCCTGGCCAACATAGTGAAACCCCATCTCTACTAAAAATACAAAAATTAGCCAGGCATGGTGGCAGGTGTCTGTAATCTCAGCTACTCAGGAGGTTGAGGCAGAAGAATCACTTGAACCTGGGAGGCAGAGGTTGCAGTTAGCCAAGATCACACCACTGCATTCTAGCCTGGCTGACAGAGTAAAACTCCGTCTCAAAAACAAACAAACAAACAAACAAACAAAAGTTAAATTATTAATTTAGCTTTGAAATTGTGGCAGCTAATCACAAAAGGTAAATTTGTGGCTTATGTAGTTCTCATTGTTCAGTAAAGGGGAATAAATTAGTTTATATGAAATGAAAAGCTTTTCTTTAGACCAAAATCCAGATAAGATTTTTTTTTCTTTGAATCTTTACAGTGAAGACATTTGTTAACATGTTAAACATCACGGGCAAAGTTTTTCTTTTTCTTTTTCTTTTTTTTTTTTTTTTTTTGAGGCAGGGTCTCACATCTGTCACCCAGGCTGGAATGGAGTGGCATGATCTTGGCTCACTGCAACCTCTGCCTCCTGGAATCAAGCAGTCCTCTTTCCTCAGCCTCCTGAGTAGCTGTGACCACAGGCCTGAGCCACTATGCCTGGCCAATTTTTAAAAATTTTTTTGTAGAATGGGGTTTCACTGTGTTGCCCAGGCTGGTCTTAAACTGCTGAGCTCAACCAATCTGCCCACCTTGGCCTCCCAAAATGTTGGGATTACAGGCATGAGCCACTGTGCCTGGCCAGGGCAAAGTTTTTCTTTTGAGTTAGGTAAGTGGTTTGGCAAATATGGTGCTCACTACAAATATGGTGCTCACTACTTGAGATCAATTCAATAATATGTTTATAACATCTTCTGTTTTTCTAGGTACTTCATCTCAATTTAAAATTTCTCCTTAAGTGACTTTTTCCAGTTCTGTGGATTTAAATATCATCAGTATGCTGATAATACTGTTTTTCCCCTCTCAAACCTTTACCTGGTCACTGAACTCATGTATCCAATATCTATTTGACCTTTACATTTGAACATGTAATATTACTTTTTTTTGAGAGAGAGAGAAAGAGTCTCGCTCTGTAGCTCAGGCTGGAGTGCAGTGGCACAGTCTCCATTCACTGCAACCTCCACCTCCCGGGTTCAAGCAATTCTCGTGCCTCAAACTCTTGAGTAGCTGGAATTACAGGCACCCACCACCACGCTTGGCTAATTTTTGTATTTTTAGTAGAGATAGAGTTTCGCCATCTTGGCCAGGCTGGTCTCAAACTCTTGACCTCAAGTGATCTGCACACCTCGGCCTTCCAAAGTGCTGGGATTACAGGCGTGAGCCACCGCGCCCGGCCAGAACATGTCATATTACCATGAAAAGTTAACCCTGGTATAGGGCATAAAATATGCCAGATATTAATTCATTTGAACTGCCCATCAATTCTGTGAAAAAACTGTCCCTGTTTTTCAGATAATAAAATGAAGGTGCAGAGAAGTATATGACTTTCCTAACATCACATTACTAATAAGTCAAAAGTGGTAACTGAGAAGCACAAAAGGCTGTTTTACAGTTAACTTTGTTTTCATAAATAGAAGGCATACACTCTAATGATATAAAGTATAATATACTAAAAATAGCAGTAACATAGTCGTTTATTGTCATTACCAAGTATTCTGTATTGTGCATAGTTGTATGTGCTAGACTGTTATATGACTGGCAATGCAGGTTATTTTGCACCAGCATCACCACAAACAGGTGAGCAATAGAAATTTTTCAGCTCCATTATAATCTTATGGGACGTTGTATATGTGGTCCATCATTGAACACATTTTTATGCGGCCATTGGCGGTACTTGTTTTTCCAGTTTTCCTTACACTGAGGCACAGCCATGCCTTATGTTTTGTCCAATGAGATACAAGGAGAAATCTGCTGGCACCACCCATTTCCCCTCTGACTTTCTTCCAGCCTTGAATACAGATGCATTACTCAGAGCTGCAGTAGCTATAATATGACCACGATTCAAGAGGCATGAGGAAAAGGTAAAGAGAGTAACAGAAATGCTGGCCCTAGGCCAGGCAAGGTGGCTCACCTGTAATCCCAGCACTTTGGGAGGCCGAGGTGGGCAGATCATCTGAGGTCAGGAGTTCGAAACCAGCCTGACCAACATGGAGAAACCCCCATCTCTACTCAAAATACAAAATTAGTCGGGCGTGGTGACACGTGCCTGTAATCCCAGCTACTCAGGAGGCTGAGGCAGGAGAATTGCTTGAAACTGGGAGGCGGAGGTTGCAGTGAGCCAAGATCACACCATTGCACTCCAGCCTGGGCAACAAGAGCCAAATTCTGTCTCAAACAAACAAACAAAAAGAAATAAATAAATGCTGGCCCTGATAATAGTCAAGCCTCTGAACCCACAGCCCTGATCTCCAAACATCTTATTACATGGGAAAAAGAAACATTTGTTGAAGTCAGTGTTGGTTAGATTTTCTGTATTTGTAACCAAAGATTACACTACTGATAAAGTAGTATAAAAAGTTGACTAATTTATCTTGTTCTAGAACTTTGAAGTCACTTAATTCCAGGGGATGTCACTGTGCAGAGTTTGCAGTTATACTGGAGATGGCTTTTTTATTATAGTCTGACCTTTACGGGTCTCTTGTTTGTAGCAGGTGGGTATGCCCATGTGGCTTGGAAAATAAAACCAAATCCATGGCCTTTAGTTCATGTGTTTCTAGCAGCTGAATGTGGTTTGCTTGTAGGAATGAAATGGCCCTAAAATGTTAATTGATTCAGTTTGACAGTGCTTGCCATATCATAAATCAATATGATGTTTTGTGCACTAGTGATAAAGTAGTGGTATGGGAGAAGGACCTGGTAGTTATGGGATGAGTCTGGTTGTTTTTAGTCATTTAGTTTTTTTTTTTAATGGAACTCGGGAAGACAGAGATTCTTTCTCCTTTTGGAATGCTTGTATGTTGTGGAGAAGGACAGGGTAAAATCAGTATTATTGGCCAATCTTAATCCTAATCAATAATATTAGACTCTGCTTATTTAAAAAATTACATCTATATTATATACATATTATATATACACACATATTTGAGATCTGATTCAAACTATATATTTTAGCTATATATTGCTGTATAAGAAATTACTCTAAAACTTAGTAGTTGAAAGTAATTTAAAAAATTTATTGTCCATCTATTTCTGTGGATCTGGAATTAGACAGGGACAGCTTGCCTCTGCTCCATGATTTCTGGGTCCTTAGCTGAAGCCTTAAAGACTAGAGGTTGGAATTATCTGGAGGCCCTCTTATTCATATGTCTAGAGGTCAGTGCTGGCTGTGGTGGAGGCCTAGCTGGGATTGTTGGCCAGAATACTCACACATAATCTCTTCCTGTGACCTAGGCTTCCTCACAACATTCTGGATGGGTTCCTAGGACAAGCATCCAGAGAGAGAGACATCCAGGTAGAAGCCGTGTTGCCTTTTATAACCTAGCTTCAGTGATAGACCTTATATTCAGTGAGACAGTTACAAAGTTACAACCTGGTTCAAGGGAAAGGAGCATAGATACCCTCTCCCCGACACACACACACACCTTTCAATTGATGCATGTCAAGGTCACATTATAGGAAAAGCAAGCAAGATGATATATATACATATATGTTATATGTATATGAAATTATATATATTTATCATATATATCTCATATATATATATGTTGAAGCAGTCATCTTTGAAAAACACAATCTGTAATACTATACCATTATCTCATCTCTTGAATGAACAGCCATGCCATATATACAAGTGTTTTGATTTTATTGGCAATGTCTAGAGACATTTTTGATTGTCATATGGGGGATGGGTAGTATTTGCTACTGGCATCTAGCCTTAGGGGCCAGGGATGGTGCTAAACATTCTACAATTCATAGAAAAGCAACACACACACACCCACACCCACACACACCCACACCCACACACACCCACACCCACACACACCCACACCCACACCCACACACACCCACACCCACACACACACGCACACACCCACACACACACACACACACACACATACAGAGAGAGAATTATCGGTAACAGAGGCTGAGAAATCCTGTCTTATAATTTTAAGACTCTACAAGTATTTAGAATACTTAAACTGTAGGGGGAGGAACCAGAATTATCGGTAACATAATAGAGGTTGAGAAATCCTGCCTTATAATATTAACACTCTACAAGTATTTAGAATAATTAAACCGTAAGGGGAGGAACCTATAGAAAACATCAACTTCCTACAAGTCTTCTAACTATAAGATTTTATTTGCAATGTGGTATTTATATATGGCATGGTCTACAAATAGCAAAGATCATTTCCTAGGCAAATTTTCATTTCGTATATAATATGCTGAATGTCAATTCTCGGTGAACAAAAGAGTTTATCAATATACATAATCCATGATTTTTACCTATCCTACATTTCCACACTTTGAAGGCATTTTGCCATCGTCTTTTTTTACCCTTGTGTGGGTAACTTATTTGTGTACTACTTGGAAGAGTATTTGTCTTAAAAATTGCTTTATGTTAGTTTTGACCATCCTCTTACCTGTCCTGAAACCTAAGCTCAAAGAAAATAAACAATTTTAATGTAGAGCACAGAGATATCAATATAATTTCCTTAGGAAGTCTTGGATGATTCTCTCTTTTATTAAATGTTATACATGCTATATAACCCTGTCTTTGCTGCTTCTCCTTTTTCATATTGGTCATTCACTAAGCACAAGAAGACATCTAATTTTGAAGAGCTGGCTTTCTAGTAAAGATGAAGCTGAAGGGTTTTCCCCTCCCCTCCACAGCATGTTCCACTGGGTGCACACAAAGCAATTACAACTCATGTCAGCCCTTTTCCATGTGATAGCATCAGCAATTTTGCCCAGGGCTTCTTTTCTGATGAACAGTAGCAGAAATAATGGCCTAATTCACTAAAAACAAAGCAAAACAAAAAACATTATCCCTGTTGCTTTCTCTAAAACAATGCGATATTAACCAAAGTCCTTCCTAATTAAAACAAAGCTATCCAATTATGCATTTTAATACTGTGAGGATTTTTAACAATATCAAAGTGAAAAAGATTCATTAGAAACATATTAAAAACTAGGCCATGCGTGGGTGGCTCACGCCTGTAATTCCAGCACTTTGGGAGGCTGAGGTGGGCGGATCACTTGAGGCCAGGAGTTTGACACCAGCCAGAGCAACATGGTGAAACCCCATCTCTACTATAAAAAAATACAAAGTTAGCCAGGCGTGGTGGCCCCCACCTGTAGTCCCAACTACTTGGGAGCTGAGGCAGGCGAATCCTTTGAACCTGGGAGGCAGAGGTTGCAGTGAGCCAAGATCACACCACGGTACTCCAGCCTGGGCAACAGAGTGAGACTGTGTCTCAAAAAAAAAAAAAAAAAAGAAAGAAAAAAGAAACAAAGAAAAGAAAAAGAAACATATTTAAAAATGAGGAATTAACCTGAGCTCAGACAGAAACAAATTCTGGTCTATTTGAATTTCTTGTGTTTTAAATATATTTCCAAGTTATTTATGGATCCCAGGAGAGTCTACTTTGTCTTTCAGTGCTGGTACTATCACAATTTGACATATCCTCAAGCCTTTAAATGTAATTTTAGGAGAGATGCTTTAAATATCCTGTTAACTTCAGGAAATAGTGGCGCCATGTTTATTTCAACGCGAGGAACAATGAATTCTTTCTTGAAGTACATTTCTGAATTTCTCTGGGGTTCAATTTATTTTCCACATACCCGCCAAAATAGGAATAATCATATCTCTCTACATTAAAGAATACAAGATAAAAGACCTTGTAACATTTTATCATGTTTAAAATAAAGCAGTAACAATAAATAGTTATGCAACAAGAAAACAACTTTTTATCCTAGGGGCAGAAAGAGGGCAAAAAGTTTCTGAAGAATAGAATTCCACTAGAGGGCAGTGCACCCCAGTGGAGGCTCAGAGCAAATGTGCACAGGACGTCTGATTAAGAAGTTATGTGGCAAACACGGAAAGTGTTTGTGATATAATATTACTATAAATAAAACAGCTACAGGAATTTTTTTACATGACTTCAGATGCTCCTTGAAAATCACATATGTTTGTGGTCAAATATCGTGCAGTATTTGAGAACATGATCTTAGACCTGGGGTCATTCCTCTGTGCACCACTGTCCTTGGATGAGTTGTTTAAAATCTCTTGAGTCTCAGTTTCTTTATCTGTAAAGCCAGAGGCAATTACAGATACCACATAGGACTGTTGTGAGCATTAACAGGGATCATATATATATAAAAGTCCAGCATGGAACCAGGCATATAATATTGCTCAGCAAAAAAAATCACAGGATGATGATGACAAAAAATACTAAAAAGGAAAATAAAATAATTTTAATTATTGGAGTAGGTTGTTTAGAGATTTATTGCATAGTATATCTTATTTACATTTACAATGGAGAGCTTGTGATGGAATATATATTTTTATTGACTGTAAATGAAATTATTCTCATCGATGAGAGAATAATTCTATTATTCTCTTCAGCATTTTAAACTCCAGAGAGAAAAATTTTCATGTAGCTACAAAATGTTATTTTTCTCATTTTAATGTCTAGAATATCATTATCACATTTTTGCTATTTCTTTTCATTTCCTAAATGAATAAACTGTCAACACCCAAAGGAAAAAAAATGGAATATACAAATAAGTTATCTCTGAATCCTTTTAAATATTATTCCTCACAAGTTATGTAGCCTTGGGATAGTATAGTATATTTCTCTTAGAACTCTCAGTGTAAGAAAATTTCATCTGATGAAAAATAGAAATATGTCAAATATGACAATTACTCTTTACAAAATGATTGTTTAAATATGAGTTCCTGTAATCATTTAGGAATTTCTTTACAAAATAACTACATGTTACAGAGGCAACAGGGCATTGTAACTTAAGGCTAAAATACTCCATCACTGACAATGAAAGGTCATTCAGAAATAAAGATTGAATGTCTCTGAAATTATAGTATGAATCAAAGTGGAAATATTTAATTTATAAAATTTTGATTTATACATGTCCCCTCTGTTCTTAGCCTTTTAAAAGTAGCTGACTCACCCACCTATCATGTGAAAAAGATCAACTAAAAGCCAGCCCCAGGCAATAACTGTCATCACAGGCATTTGTCAAGATTACACCTACTATTCCTACATCATGGCTGCATCAGTGTTACCCAGATGACCGATATCACCATCATCACCAACATCTCCACTATAACTACTACTTCCTCTGACTATATAAACTTATTGTTCACTTTTTTCATCTCCCTATTTATTTGACCTCACCTGGCCAGTTAAGAGAGGAAATTGGTTAGGAATTTCCTGTACCTACTTGAATTCTAACCTCAGATGTAAATGACAACACATTCTTATGAAACTAAGGGTGGCAGTTACCCAAATCCGTGTCTAAACCAAGGATAGATTCTTGGAACATCAGGCTTTTGATAACCACTAGGAAATATCATCAGACCAGGAAGCTGAGGAGCTGTCCCCCTAACCCACCTGCCCATCACAAATGAGCTCTAATGGAAGATGGCTGAATAGAAGGCTCCACACTGATTGTCCCCCACAACAGGAACACCAAACTTAACAACTATCTACACCCAAAAAGCACCTTCCTAAGAACCAAAAATCAGGCGAGCACTCACGGTACCACGTTTGAACTTCATATCACTGAAAGAGGCATTGAAGAGGGTAGTAAAGACAGTCTTGAATCGCCGATGCCACTCCTCCCCCATCCCCCTGGCAGTGGCTGCATGGTACAGAGAAAGAATCTGTGCACTTGCAAGAGAGAAAGAGCAGCGACTGTGAGACTTTGCATTCAACCCAGTGCTGTCCTATCACAGCAGAAAGCAAAACCCAGCTGAAGTCAGCCAGTGTGTGCTGAAGGAGGGAGCATCTAGATGAGCCCTAGCCAGAGGGAAATTACCCATTCCCGTGGTCAGAACTTGAGTTTCAGCAAGCCTCATCACCACGGGCTAAAGTGCTCTGGGGCCCTAATAAACTTGAAAGACAGTCTAGGCCACAAGGACTGCAACCCTTAGGAGAGTAATAGTGCTGAGCTGGTTTCGTAACCAGTGGACTTGAGGGGTACACCACCTACTAAGAAGCCAGCCGAAGTGGCTAAGAGAGTGCTTGTGCTATTCCTCCCATAAACTCAGGCAGCACTGCTCACGTTCCAAAAGAGACTCCTTCCTTCTGCTTGAGGAGAAAAGAGGGGAGAGTAAAGAGGACTTTGTCGTGCATATTGGGCCAGCTCAGCCACAGTAGGATAGGGCACTGGTAAGAGTCATAAGGCCCCCATTCCAGGCCCTAGCTCCCAGACAACATGTTGAGACACACCCTGGGCAAGAAGGGAACCCACTGCCTTGAAGGGAAGGGCCCAGTCCTGGCAGGATCCATCACCTTCTAGCTAAGCAGCCCTTCAGCCCTAAATAACCAACAGTGATACCCAGGTAGTATACCAGGGGCCTTGAGTAAGACTCTGAGATGAGCTGGATTCAGGTGAGACCCAGCACATTCCCAACTGTAGTGGCTACGGTGAGAGACTCTTCCTGCTTGAGAAAAACAGAAAGAAAACTAAAGGGGGCTTAGTTTTGCACATTAGGTACCAGCTCGGCCACAGTCAGGTAGAGTACCAAGTAGTCTCTTGGGGTTCCCAATTATAGGCCTTGGCTCTTGGATGGCATTTCTGGACCCACCCTGGACCACTGGAGAGCACATTTCCCTTAAGGGTGAGTCCTAGGCCTGGCAGCATTTACCACAAACTGACTGAATAGTGCTTGGACCATAAGTGAACATCAGCAGTAGCCCGTTAGTACTCCCAGTGGGCCTGTGGTGGTAGTGGCTACAGGGTGAGGCTCCTTTGCCTATGGAAAGGGAAGGGAAGAGTAGGAAAGGCTGTGTCTCATGGTTTGAGTTCCAACTCAGCTGCAATATAATAGAACACTGGGTACATTTCTAAGGTTTTCGACTCTAGTCCCTAGCTCCTGCATGGAATCTCTGTGTGCACCCTAAGCCTGCGGGAACTTGCTGTCATGAAGGGAAGGACACAAGCCTGGCTGACTTTGCCACCTGCTAATGGTAGAGCCCTAGGGCTGTGAGCAAACATAAGTGGTAGCCAAGTAGTTACAGTGGGCTTTGGCAAAATCCAGTGCTGTGCTGGCTTTAGATATGACCCAGTGCAGTCCTAGTGGTGAAGGCCACAGGGGTGCTTGTGTCACTCCACCCGCAGTTACAGGTGGCTTAGCACACAGAGGGAGACTCTGTTAGGGAGAAAGTAAGGAAAGAGAACAAAAGTCTCTGCTTGGTGATCCAGAGAATTCTTCTGGATTTTATCCAATACCACTAAGGCAATACCTCTACAATCTATAAGAACTACAATATTACTGAGCGTGGGGTGACCCCTAATTCAGATACAGATTAGATCACAACACCCACATCCTTTCAAACACCTGGAAAGCCTTCCCAAGGAGGACAGGTACAAACATTCCCAGACTGTGAAGGCTACAATAAATACTGGACTCTTCAATGCCCAGACACTGATGAACATCCACAAGCATCAAGAGCATGCAAAAAAACATGACCTCACCAAACGAACTAAATAAGGCACCAGGGACAAATCCAGGAGAAACAGAGATATGTGACCTTTCAGACAGAGAATTCAAAGAAATTCAAGATAACACAGAGAAGGAATTCAGAATTCTATCAGATAAATTTAGCAAACATTGAATTAAAAAGAATCAAGAAGAAATTCTGGAGTTGAAATATACACTTGACATACTGAAAAGGGCATCAGAGTCTTTTAATAGCCGCATTGATCAAGTAGAATTAGTGAGCTTGAAGACAGGCTACTTGAAAATATACAGTCAGAAGAGACAAAAGAAAAAAGAGTAAAAAAAGAATAAAGCACACCAACAAGATCTAGAAAATAGCCTCAAAGGGGCAAATCCAAGAATCATTGGCCTTAAAGAGTAGGTAGAGAAATAGATAGGAGTAGAAAGTTTATTCAAAGGGATAATATCTTGGAACTTCTCAAGTCTAGAGAAAGATATCAACATTCAATACAAAAAGGTTAGAGAACACCAAGCATATTTAACTCAAGGAAGACTACCTCAACACATTTAATAATCAGACTCCCAAAGGTCAAGGATAAAGGAAAGATCCTAAAAGCAGCAAGAGAAAATAAATAAATAACATACAGTGAAGGTCCAGTACACCTGGTAGCAGACTCTTTTTTTTTTTTTTTTTGAGTCAGAGTCTCACTCTGTCACCCAGGCTAGAGTGCAGCGGCATGATCTAGGCTCACTGCAAACTCTGCCTCCCGGGTTCACGCCATTCTCCTGCCTCAGCTTCCCGAGTAGCTGGGACTACAGGCACTCGCCACCAAGCCCCACTAATTTTTTTGTATTTTTAGTAGAGACGGGGTTTCACCATGTTAGCCAGGATGGTCTCGACCTCCGGACCTCGTGATCCGCCTGCCTCGGCCTCCCAAAGTGCTGGGATAATAGGCATGAGCCACCACACCTGGCCGGCAGCAGACTTTTGAGTGGAAACCTCACAGGGCAGGAGAGTAGCATGACATATTTAAAGTGTTGAAGGAAAAAACTTATCCTAGAATAGTATATCCAGTGAAAAATATCCTTCAGCATGAAGGAGAAATAAAGGCTTTCACAGACAAACCAAAGCTGAGGGATTTTTCATCAACACCAGTCCTATCCTACAAGAAATGCTAAAGGGAGTACAGAAAGTAAAGGACACTAATGAGCAATATGAAATCATCTGAAGTACAAAACTCACTGGTAATAGTAAGCACACAGAAAAACACAGACTATTATAACACTGTAATTGTGGTATGTAAACTACTCTTATCTTAAATAGAAAGACTAAAAGATGAATCAATCAAAAATAGTAACTACAACAACTATGCAAGACATAGATAGTACAATATAATGTAAATAGAAACAACAAAAAGTTAAAAAGTGGGGATTAAGTTAAGATCTAGACTTGTCATTTGTTTTCTTTTTCCTTGTTTGTTTATTTGTACACTGTTAATTTGTTATCAGCTTAAAATAATGGGTTATGTTAGTATTTTCAAGCCTCATGGTCACAACAAATAAAACATACAATGCATATATATACACACACAGAAGCAAGAAATTAAACCATACCACTAAAAAAAAATCACCTTCACTAAAAATAAGACAGGAAGAAAGGAAAGAAGGAAGAGAAGATCACAAAACAACCAGAAAACAAATAACAAAATGGCAGGAGTAAGTCTATTTATCAACAATGACGTTGAATGTAAACTCTCCAATCAAAAGAAATAGTGGCTGAATGGATAAAAAATAAGACTCAATGATCTCTTGCCTATAAGAAATACACTTCACCTAAAAAGATACAGAAAGACTGAAAATAAAGGGATGGAAAATGATATTGCATGCCAATGGAAACCCAAAAAGAGCAGAAGTAGCTATACTTATATCACACAAAGTAGATTTCAAGACAAAAACTGTAAGAAGAGACAAAGAAGGTTATGTAGTGATAAAGGGGTCAATTTAGTAAGAGGATATAACAATTATAAATATATATGCACCCAACAGTGGGGCACCCAGATACAAAAACCAACTATTATTAGAGCTAAAGAGAGAGATGGACTCCAATGCAATAATATTGGGAGAGTGTAGCACCTCCATTTTCGGCATTGGACAAATTATTCAGACTAAAACCAACAAAGAAACATCAGACTTAATCTGCACTATATACCAAATTGACCTCATAGATATTTACAGAACATTTTATCCAACAGCTCCAGAATACATGTTCTTTTTCTCAGCATATGGATCATTCTCAAGCATAGACCAATTGTTAGATCACAAAACAAGTCTTAAAACATTTTAAAAAAATGAAATAGGATCAAGCATCTTCTCTGACCACAAACTAGGAAACAATGACAAGAGGAATTTTGGAAACTATACAAATACATGGAAAGTAAATAATATGCTCCTGAATGACCAGTGGGTCAATGAAGAAATTAAGAAGGAAACTGGAAAATTTCATGAAACAAAGGAAATGGAAACACAACATACCAAAACCTATGGGATATAGTGAAAGCAGTACTAAGAAGGGAGTTTATACCTGTAAGTGCCTATGTTGAAAAGAAGAAAAACTGGCCAGACACAGTGGCTCACACCTATAACCCCAGCACTTTGGGAGGCCTAGCCAGGTGGATCACGAGGTCAGGAGTTCGAGACCAGCCTGGCCAACATGGTAAAACCACGTTTGTACTAAAATACAAAAAATTAGCCAGGTGTGGTGGCATGGACCTATAGTCCCAGCTACTCGGGAGGCTGAGGCAGGGGAATCACTTGAACCCAGGAGGCGGAGGTTGCAGTGAGCCAAGATCGTGCCACTGCACTCCAGCCTGGCGACAGAGTGAGGTTCCATCTAAAAAAAAAAAAAAAAGAAGAAAAACTTCAAGTAACCCAATGATGCATCTTAAAGAACTAGGAAAGCAAGCGCAAACCATACCCAAAATTAGTAGAAGAAAAGAAATAAAGATCAGAGCAGAAATAAAGGAAATTGAAACAAAATAAATAATACAAAATATCAATGAAGCAAAAAGTTGGAATTTTGAAAAGATAAGCAAAATTGACAAACTCTTAGCCAGACTAACAAAAAAAAAGAGAAGACACAAATAAATAAAATCAGAGATGAAAAAGGAGGTATTACAACTGTACCACAGAAATTCAAAGGATTTTTAGTGGCTGCTATGAGCACCTATATGCCAATACATTGAAAAATCTAGAAGAAGTGGATAAATTCCTAGACACATAAAATCTACCAAGATTGAACCATGAATAAATCCAAAACCTGAACAGATCAATAGCAAATAATGAGATCAAAGCCATAATAAAACGTCTCCCAGCAAAGAAAAGCCCGGGACCCAGTGACTTCACTGCTTAACTCTACCAAACATTTAAATGAATACCAATCCTACCCAAACTATTCCAAAAAATAAAGGAGGAGGGAATACTTTCAAATTCATTATACGAGGCCAGTATTATACTGGTAACCAAAACTGAACAGAGACGCATCAAAAAAAGAAGGCTACAGGCCAATATCCCTGATGAATATTGATGCAAAAATTCTCAACAAAACACTAGCAAACTGAATTCAACAACATATTCAAAAGATCATTCATCATGATCAAGTGGGATTTATCACAGGGATGCTAGAGTGTTTACCATATGCAAATCAATCAATGTCGTATGTTATATTAACAGAATGAAGGACAAAAACCATATGATCATTTCTATTGATGCTAACAAACCATTTGATAATATTCAACATCTGTTCATGATAAAAACCCTAAAAAAACTCGGTATGGAAGAAAAATACCTCAACATAATAAAGGCCATATATGACCATAGCTAGTATCATACTGAATGAGGAAAAACTGAAAGCCCTTCCTCTAAGATCAAGAACATGACAAGGATCCCCACTTTCACCACTGTTATTTAGTATAGTACTGGAATTCCTGGATAGAGCAATTAAACAAGTGAAAGAAATATAGGGCATCGAAAAATGGCAAGACAGAAGTTAATTATCCTTGCTTGCAGATGACATGGTCTTATATTTGGAAAAACCTAAAGGCTCTATTAAACAAATATTAGAAGTGATAAACAAACTCAGTAAAGTCATAGGATAGAAAATAAACATACAAAAATCAGTAGCATTTCTATATGCCAACAGTGAACAACCTGAAAAAGAAACTTAAATAGAATCCTATTTATAATAGTCAATTTTATCATATTTAATAAAAGTAAAAACCTAGGAATTAACCAAAGAATTGAAACATCTCTATAATATAAACTATAAAACACTGATGAAAGAAATTGAAGAGGACACCAAAAAATGGGAAGATATTCCATGTTCATAGAATAGAAGAATCAATATTGTTAAAACATCTGTACTACCCAGAGCAATCTATAGATTGAATGCAATCCCTATCAAAATACCAACGACATTTTCACAGAAATAGAAAAAAATTCTAAAACGTATGTGGAACCCTAAAAATCCAGAATAGCCAAAGCTATCCTAAGCAAAAAGAACAAAACTAGAGAAATTACATAGTAAAAAAAACAGCATAGTACTGGGATAAAAAAACAGACACATAGACCAATGGAGCAGAATATAGAACTTACAAATAACGTCCACACGCATATAGTGAATTCATTTTTGAAAAAAGTCCCAAGAACATACACTAGGGAAGGCACACTCTCTTCAAGAAATGGTGCTGGGAAGACTGGATATCCATATGTAAAAGAATGAAACTAGACCTCTATCTCTCACCATATACAAAAATAAAATCAAAATGGATTAATGACTTAAATCTAAGACCTCAAACTATGAAATGAATACAAGAAAACATTGGGGAAACTCTCAATACATTGGTTTGGGCAAAAATTTCATGAGTAATACCCCACACGCATAGCCTACCAAAGCAAAAATGAACAAATGGGATCACATCAAGTTAAAAAGCTTCTGCACAGCAAAGGGAACACTCGATAAAGTGAAGAGACAACCCACAGAATGAGAGAAAATATTTGCAATCTATTCTTCTGGCAAGGGATTAATAACCAGAATATTTAAGAAACTCAAACAACTCTATAGGAAAAAAATATATAATAATCTGATTATGAAATTTGTGAAAGATCTAAATATATGTTTCTCAAAAGAAGACATACAATTGGCAGACAGGTATATGAAAAAGTGCACAAAATCGTTGATCATCAGAGAAATGCAAATCAAAACTACAATGAAATATCATCTCACCCTAGTCAAAATGGCTTATATCCAAAAGACAGGCAATAACAAATGCTGGCGAGGATGTAGATAAAAGGGAAGCCTGGTACACTGTGGTTGGGAGTGTAAATTGGTACAACCACTATGGAACACAGTTTGGAGGTTTCTCAAAAAACTAAAAATAGAAGTACCATATGATCCATACCAATCCCACTGCTAGGTGTATACCCAAAAGAATCGGTATATCAAAGAGATATTTGCAGTCCTGTGTTTACTGCAGCACCATTCACAATAGCTGGAATTTGGGAGCAAACTAAGTGTCCATCAACAGATTAATGGATAAAGAAAAGCGGTACATATATACAATGCAGTACTAGTTAGCCATAAAACAGAATGAGATCCTGTCATTTGCAACAACATGGATGGAACTAGAGGTCATTATGTGAAATGAAATAAGCCAGCCATGGAAGGACAAACTTCACATGTTCTCACTTATTTGTGGGAGCTAAAAACTAAAACAATAGACCTTATGGAGATGGAGTAGAAGGATGGTTACTGAAGGCTGGGAAGGATAGTAGGCTTGGCGGGTGCGAGGGAAGTAGGATGGTTAATGGATACAAAAAGATAGAAAGAATGAATAAGACCTAGTATTTGCTAGCACAACAGGGTGACTAGAGTAAAAAATAATTTAATTATACATTGAAAAATATATAGAAGAGTATGATTGAATTGTTTGTAACACAAAGGATAAATGTTTGAGGTGATGAGTACCCCATTTACCCTGATATGATTATTATGCATTGTATGAATGTATCAAAATGTCTCATGTAACTCATAAATATATACACTTGCTATGTACCCACAAAAATTGAAAATTAAGGAAAAAGTAAGCTCTAATGGATCCCAAGGCAAGTTCTTATCACTGGGGTATACTCTAGAAGCAGGAAACAAGGGCTCCGTAAGCATCTAGAAGAATGTGAAACTAGATGTATATAAAATAGTTCAGAAGCCTCAACTTGACACACTCTGATCTTTGCCTTTTGGGTGGCCCTGACCCACATAAAGCTGGACCTCTAGGGCACCTACAACCTTGACAAGTTTAGCAAGTCAATAATTGCCTGAACTACAGGATTCTTCTACTCAACATCCTGGATCCAAAAGCTATTACCTATCAGTATTTCCTAAACCTGGCTGATAATCAGAATCACTGGAGGAGGGGTAATTTTTTGTTTTTATAGTTCAAGTTCCAGAGGTTTTAAATTCTATAACTTAAGAAAACTCCCCAGGCCAGGTGCGGTGGCTCATGCCTATAATCCCAGCACTTTGGGAGGCCGAGTCGGGTGGATCACTTAAGGTCAGGAGTTCGAGAGCAGCCTGGCCAACATGGTGAAACCTTGTCTCTACTAAAAATACTAAAATTAGCCAGGTGTGGTGGTAGGCACCTGCAGTCCCAGCTACTCGGGAGACTGAGGCAAGAGAATCACTTGAATCGGGGAGGCGGAGGTTGCAATGAGCCGAGATCATGCCACTGCACTCCAGCCTAGGTGACAAAGCGAGACTCCGTCTCCAAAAACAAAACAAAACACACACACACACACACACACACACACACACACACACACACACACACAACTCCCCAGATGATTTGATGACTCTCCATGCTTGAGAATCACAGGACATAGATGACCATCTCATCTCTTCACCAATCCTGGCATCACAAAATTCCCTGATGTGAGTGTTCTTTGATTGATGGCAATAGAACTGCTGTGGGCCCAGACTAGGATATATATCCTTGAGAGCCTGAGGTAGAATCCCTGTCTCCTCCCTGCCTAGCCCTGGCCCCACCAGGCAGAAAACTCAACCTAAAATAGATGGCAAAGTGAGGGCACCAGGCCCTAGGACACTTTGGCACAAGAACTCTGGCTATCCCTCCCCAGTTTCAGGTGACAAAGATGATGCAGTAGCTCCTGCTAGAGCTCAGAGCTATGCAGATGAGGCCCGGGGTCAAGGGTTGCAAAGGCCACTAATCTAGTAGGATGACCTGCTTTGTTTCACAATCTGAAATGCTGTCATCCTAGAACTACCCTGGATAAGTGATTAAACATAATCTTCAGAGACTTTGAGAGAAATAAGCCAAGATGACGTAGCTGTTCCAAACTCTAAGTCTAAATGAAACATTATGGCAATGCACTTCATTTCAGACTGTCCCCTCCCCATACAAGGACACTATCCTGCTTGTGAATATCCTCAAGAAAATGTATATGTCCCCTCTCTACCATTGTCCTCCTCTCAAGGAACTTACCCCTCCTCATGGAAGAGCCAACCACACACTCTGATTTTGATAGCCTATTTCTATTTTATAGGGCTCTACTAAAAAAACAAAAAAAATTCATTTGTCTTTCCACTTCCCACCTCCTATAGATCATTTATTAGATAGAGCACAAAATCTACGTTCGAAGTTCACCCATGTCTATAGCTGCTGAGAAAACACTCCTACAGTCAAAGGCTGATCTAGTTATCATGGCATGTGGATATGATTCACAGTAGCACCTCATCTAGAATCTTACCTTTCACAATAATTAGGATCTATTCTGTACTAAGATGCGGTACCTATAGTTCAAGAAGAGCTACATGCCAAAAGCATCGAGAAATTCGAAGTGCTATCCTCCATCTGACTCCCCTTCCATTCATTGTTAACATCTCACTCACAACAAGGACCAGATGACCTCTACTAGGACTACTTCTAGATGACAGAGATCATCTGCCCCATCACCTATACTATAGTACCCACCTTCCCTTCCATGTGCATCCACAAAATTTTTACTATTCTCTGCTGCCCACAGAGATCCTATCCTCAGTCCCATATTTCAGTGCCTAGCCCCAGTGAACTAAGATTGAGAAGACGCAATGGGTTCCTGGGCACATCAAATCTCACTTCAGTGTTTGGTTCACTAAGAAAGGAGTGGCTGAAAGGACAGTAATGGAATGCTGCCTTTGGAAACAGGATCTACCAGAACATGTAAAGCAAATTGAACAAAGAGGGTCAAAACACATCCCATACTTGTCCCTTTGAATGGGTCTGACTTTCCTATGCATTGCCCCACATAGGGCAAAAGGAAGACAGAAAACTGGCCATAGCATATCTCAAGATTTGCCCATAATATCCTCTCACACACCTGCTCATGACTTTAACTTAAATGCTTCTCTTTGTATTGGATTCTCATTCAACACTATTGAATACCAGACCATGCCCCTCCATTGCCCCCTGGCACCTACCCACACACAACTTGCCTTCATCTGTCAGGTCATAGGACTTATATAGATTAGGCTGGACTCTCTAGTCCCTCCTAAGCTTCCCCACTATGGGTGAATATTTGAGATAGGATTTAAGACTATCCTTAGTGTGTGAGCAAGGTTCTTCCTTCCCAGTTTAGTATCTTAGATTCAGGGAACCTCTGTCTTATGCCTGGCCATGGATTCCAGGAAAGACCTAACCCACAAAGAAGCTAACTTCCCCATATTCAGGGAGGCTAAGCTTTCTTATGGCAGCAATTACTATCCATCTGTGTTCTTCTCTTAATGTAGATCCAGTGTGTAGGTAAGGACTTGGCAGGGTGACAGAAGATATCTTTGTCTAGGGGCAAAAGTAATTTGCTAAGGGGATATGCAGAGAGACAAACAGGTGTTCCTTGAATTAATGATAAGAAAGCTCTCTGGAGATTTCATTAGTAGTATTATCTTAAATGTGGTCAGTTTGGATGGTTTCTGACTTTTCAGAGGATGACCTTTGAATTCAGCCTCAAATCCTGAAGCAGAAGGTAACCTTATGGGAAGCTTTCAAAGATGTCTGAGCTTCGTGCTTGGATTTAATTATCTCTTCCCAGTTGTGAACTTTGGCAAAGTTACAGAAGAGCTACTGCCCTGCCAGCAAGCTGGCCATTCCTGTAAAGACTGATTCACACTTTGTAGTCATTGATCCACGGAAAGCAAATTAATAGCACAAGTAGAAAGGTAAGGCATAGGATGTAGGTTATTTGCCAAGTGGGCCACTGTTCTGGCATGCATTTGGTGATAAATTTCAGCACTGGACATGTTTTCAGCATTTAAATCTGGCCCATTAATCCAGTAGCTGCGACAGTGAGCACCTTTCTCTTTTGGGCCACCCTCAACATTGAATCATCACAGTTTGGTCACCTTCTACTGGAATCCCTCATTAAGCCCTTAAGCAGGATGATGTAATTTTATATCTACCCTAGTAAACACAATTTCCATAGGATATATTTCACATAATACAGACAAGTTATATATTTTACTGCCTGAATATGACTCAATGGAAACAGATCTCTTTTTTTTTTTTTTTTTTTTTTTTTGAGACGGAGTCTCGCTGTCGCCCAGGCTGGAGTGCAGTGGCGCAATCTCGGCTCACTGCAGGCTCCGCCCCCTGGGGTTCACGCCATTCTCCTGCCTCAGCCTCCCGAGTAGCTGGGACTACAGGCGCCCGCCACCTCGCCCGGCTAATTTTTTGTATTTTTAGTGGAGACGGGGTTTCACCGTGTTACAGATCTCTTTTTAAGGAGGATTTAAAAACTTTTAGGACATAGAAAAACTGTGCTAAAGATAAGAGTACCCACATGAACTAGAATAAAGAGGAAAAATAACCAGAAAACCAGACTTATGAGCTGGCAAATTAGGCAGCATCTGTTCAGCTTGGCAGAGTTCCTTGAAATAACTTCACACTACCCCACGGCTGATAATAAGCACAGCCAAAGAGGCTCATTGACTGAATGAGCCTAAATCTCCAGCTAGATCTCAAAAACAAACTTCCTTTGTTTCTCTGAGCTGAACTTCTAACTTCACTGATTATTTTCCAGATGGGCCTTGGTCCTGCCTTGAACTTGACCATGCTTCATATTCCTGGTCATGACTTTGGAACCTTCCAGTGACCACCTTGCATTTTTTTCCTGGCAATGAATCCACAGAATACTTGGTTTAAACACCCTCTTGATTTGACATTATTCCCAGGCCTCTCCTCTCCAATACCACCTCTAACCATGAAGTACCCCCTTGGCTTAGTCCAATAGCAACTTCCTGGTGGAATTTTAAAGGCACTGGAAGGTCTCCTTTCCTCCTAACTTATATCTCTATAGAAGCTTTCCTAATATATTCTTGTAGAGTTGGCAACTCCCTCCTCTGTGCTCTCACTGTTCTAAAATTTGTTAAATTAATAAATTTACTCATGTGGCTATTTCTCCTACTTATCTCCTTAATAACAGATACTAAGTATCATTTAACTTTTTATTTCCTCCATTTTCTTGCACAGGGCATTCATGGCACAAAGCAGTTCTCTAATAAATGCTTGATGAATGGATGGATGAATGAATAGACGAATGCTTTCATAACATAGTCATCTTTTCTCCAACACCAGGATGAAATCATTTCCACATAAGTTACCCTAAAGTTGCTGGTGTTCCTATCAACCATGAAAAAAATATATATCTACTTCCAGGAATGTCATATGAACTCTCAGAGTTCTCCACTCAAGATAAGAATCTGCATTTATATAGTATATTTTCATTTATGTGTTACTTTTCAAGATGATAATTGTAACTGACATTGAGTAGTTACTATACTCTAGGCATTGTTCTTAGTACTTACATATATTACTCTATTAATCATTACTTCAATCCTATAAAGTAGGTGCTATTTGTTATCTTGAGGAAATGAAATCTGGAATGGTTACAAAACTTTTCAAGTTGTCAAAGCTAGTAAGTGACAGAACCAGCAACTACACCTAGAACCGCCTTCCATAGCCCCATTCTTAACCATATACAACCCACCCCAGACATTAATCTGTTCATTTTCCTCAAACACCGAAGATATACCTTCAGAGGCCATGAAAGAGGTGGACACTGTAAAATGCAAAGTTACAAATTATAAAGACAAAGTCTAAAATCTAAATTCTATGATTCCCTTTCTAGTTCCTTAGTAAAATATTAAACTAGTGTTCTTCTCAATCCAATGAACAAAATAGGGATTTTATAATGCTAAACGCCAATAGATTGTAGTCTCTGTTATATTTCTTTTTATTCTTAATTTTGAGCTTATTTCCTTATTATCTTTCCTCCTTATTCTAGTTCATCTGCCTTATATTATTCTCTCAGATACCTCACACAATAAATGCACAGGAAGAAGGGGGAAGAGACACACAGATTTAAGATAAAGATGTAAGTTGGGGAGGAGACTAGTGAGGACTACTGGAAATCTGTGCCAGTGTATAAGTGATCTTCCACCTCCAACTTTTCTCATTACATTGATCATCCTTCAGCAATTTGAAGAACACTGCCCAAGAACTCACAGAAGAAAAAAGAAAAGAATGGCCAATAAGTATATAAAAAGGTATTCAACTTCTTTAGTAATCAAGCAAATAAAAATTAAAACATCAATGAGGTACCATTTCATATCTATCAGGTTGGCAAAAATTAGAAGGTATGATATACCAGAAATGGGGAAAAAGGAATTTTGAACCCCTTCTGATGGACATGTAAATTAACATAACCAGATCAATACAGCCGTTACAGAAAACGTTGTGGAGGTTCTTAAAGAAATTAAAAATAGAGCTACTGGCTGGGTACCCTGGTTCATGCCTATAATCTTCACACTTTGGGAGGCCAAGGCAGGTGGATCACTTGAGGCTAGGAGTTCAAGGCCTGGCCAATACAGTGAAACCCCATCTCTACCCAAATATACAAAAATTAGCTGTGCATGGTGGTGTGCGCCTGTAATCCCAGCTACTCAGGAGGCTGAGGCAGGAGAATCACTTGAACCTGGGAGGCAGAAGTTGCAGTGAGCCGAAATCCGTGCCACCACACTTCAGACTGGGCAACAGAGCAAGACTCTGTCTCAAAAAAAAAAAAAGCTACTATGTGAACCAATAATCCTTCTTCTGGGTATATACATAAAGGAAATGAAATCATCACCTCATAAAAATATCTGCACACCCATGTTCATTGCAGCATTGTTCACAATAGCCAAGATATAGAAATGACCTAATGACCATATTACCCAAAGCAATCTACAGATTCAATGCAATCCCTATCAAGACACCAAAGACATTCTTCACAGAAACAGAAAAAAAATCCTAAAATTCATGGAACCTCAAAAGACCCCAAAAAGCCACAGCAATAAAACCAATACTGAGTGAAAAGAACAAAGCTGGAGGCACTGCACTACCTGACTTCAAAATATACTATAAAACTGTGGTAACCAAAACGGCACAACAGTTGTATAAAAACAGACACATAGGCCAATCCAACAAACTAAAGAACTGAGAAATAAATCCACATACATACAGTCAACTGATTTTTGACAAAGGCACCAAGAACATACATTGGGGGAAAAACGACCTCTTCAACAAATGGTGCTGGAGAAACTGGATATTCATATGCTAAAGAATGAAACTAGATCCCTATTTCTCACCATATACAAAAATTAACTAAAACTGAATTAAATAATTAAATGTAAGACCCGAAACTATAAGAAGAAAACATAGGGGAAATACTTCATAGCATTGGTTTGCATAAAGATTTTACAGATAAGACTTCAAAAGCAGACAAAAAAAGCAAAAATAGTCAAATAGGATTATATAAAACTAAAAAGTCTCTGCAGAGCAAAGGAAACAATCAGCAGAGTGAAAATACAACCTGCAGAAGAGAATAAAACACTGGCAAATTATTCACCTGACAAGGAGATTAATATCCAGAATATACAAGAAACAGAAAACTCAACATTAAAAATAATATTAGCCTGATTTTAAAATGGGCAAATTATCTGAATAGACATTTTTCAGAAGAAGAAATACAAATGGCCAACCCATATATGAAAAAATGCTTCAACATCACTGTTCATCAGGGAAATGCAAATGAAAACCACATTCTCACCCCACTTAGAATGGCTATTACCAAAAAGACAAAAATAACAAATGCTAGCAAGGATGCAGATAAAAGGAAACCCTTGTACACTATTGGTGGGAATGTAACTTAGTATAGCCATTATGAAAAGCAGTACTCCACAAAAATCTAAAAATAGAACTACCACATGATCCAGCAATCTAATTACTGGGTATATATCCAAAGAAAAGGAAACCAGTATATTGAAGAGATATCTGCATCCCTATGTTTACTGCAGTACTACCCAGAAAAGCTAAGATATACAATCAACCTAAATGTCCATCAATAAATGAATAAAGAAAATGTGGTATGTGGTATGTCTACATAATGGGATACTATTCAAAAAGAATGCAATCCTGTCACTCACAACAACATGGATGAGCCTGGAGGACACTATGTTAAATGCAGTAAGTTAGGCACACTAAGATAAACACCACATGTTGGCACTCATATGTGGAAGCTGAAAAGTGAAACTCATTAAAGTAAAAAGTAGAAAAGTGGTTACTAGAAGCTGAGAAAGAGTTGGAAGTGGGAATAGGGAGATGTTGGTTAACAGATGCAAAGTTACAGCTAGATAGATAGAATAGGTTCTAGTGTTCTGTAGCACCGTAGGGTAACTATAGTTAACAATAATTTATTTTATATCTTCAAGTAGATAGAAGAGAGAATTTTGAATGTTCGCATCACGAAGAAATGATACATTTTCGTGGTGATGGATATGCTAATAACTCAAATTTGATACATGATGTGTAATGATCAAAGTAATTTGAAAATAAAAATCTTCAAAATTAAATTTAATTTAATAGGCTCAAATGAAAAATAAACTGTTATATATAACATTATATACATAACAAAATATCATTTAGCCTTAAAAAAGAAGGAGATCCCAGAATTTGCAACAACATTGATGAACCCGGAGGACATTATGCCAAGTGAAACAGGACAAACACAAAAAGCAAAATATTGCATGATCTCACTTATACGTGGAATCTTTTTTTGAAAGTTAAATACACAGAGATGGAGAATAAAACAGTGGTTTACCAAAGATGGGGGGTTAGGAGGAGATAGGAAATGGGGAGATGTAAGTTAAAGGATACAAAGTAGTAGATACGTAGGATGCCCAAGTCTAGAGATCTAATGTACAACATGAGGACTATAGTTAATAATATTGTATTATATTTAGGATTTTTGCTAAATTAGTACATTTTAGCTGCTCTTGCCATACACAGAAAAAATGCATAACTATGTGAGATGATGGATATGTTAACTTGTATCACTATAGTAAGCATTTTATTATCTGTATGTACCTCACACATCATGCTGTACACCTTAAATACACACAATAAAATGTTTAAAAATATGTAACCACATCAGAGAGTAATTTGATATAGTTGAAGATATATGAGACTCTGTACCCCAGAAATTCTGCTTCTTCATCTATCCTTAGAGAAACTGTCCCACATACATATTTAAGAATATTATTTGAAGCACTGTGTTATAATAGGAAAAAATTGAAACATAAATGCCCATTAACAAGAGAATGGATACAACAATGAAAATTAATAAACTAGATGTATTAACATAGATAGATTCCAGGCCAGGCATGGTGGCTCACACCTGTAATCCCAGCACTTTGGGAGGCCAAGGCAGGATGATCTCTTGAGCCCAGGAGTTCAAGACCAGTCTGGGCAATGAGACGCCCTCTCTACAAAAAATTTAAAAATTAGCTGGGCATGGTGGCATGGCCAGTAGCCCCAGGTACTCAAGGGGCTGAGGTGGGAGGATTGCTTAAGCCCAGGAAGTCAAGACAGCAATGAGCCATGATTGTGCCACTGCAATCCAGCCTGGGTGACAGAGAAAGACCGTGTCTCAAAACAGCAACAAAAATAGATTCCCAAAATGAAACATCCAGCGAGAAAATCAAGTTAGTGGATGAGATGCCATATAGTATAATAACATTTATAAAACTTTGAAAAGACACAACAATTCTAAATATTTTTCATAGATCTAGACATGGAGCATAAGCATTAAAATATGCATAGAATGAATCAACATTCATTCAATCATTCAAATCAACATCAAAATAGTGGTTGCCTCTGCAATGAGGGAGGTAAATAGAACTAGTGTAGAGAATTAAGGGGACTATGTGTTTATTATATTTTTTCTTTTTTAAAATGGTCTGAAGCAAATACTACAAAATAATACAATTTGGGAATTCTAGATAGCCATTCTACAGATGTTTATAATACTTCTCTATTTATTTATGTTTAAAATATTTTAGTAAAAAAACAAACATTTACCATAGTTTCTAAGGGGTTAAAAATAGAGCCTAGTAAGGAAGGCTGCAATTAAGGACAAAGAGGCTTGAGGACATAAATGAACCCAGACAGCGCTGTGCTCCAGAGACTGTGAATTATTGTCAAAGCCTGGCTATGCATCATTTAGAGAGGAAAGTGGTTCCCCTTCAAGGCCAGCTGTGGTTATTTACCAGTAAGAGTGATAGTTTACACCTGTCAGACAATGTTTATTTCTCTAGAAGTTAGGTAGAGTTTCTGTAATTCACATTCTAATACTGCTTGTCTTTGGTAAATCCTGCCACTCACACAGTCATGAGACTAAAAATAATGAAGCATAATTCAGTTTCTAGTAAAATAGGGCATGTACAGACTATAAAACAAAATTGCTAGATGAGCCAAAGCAAATCCTTTTGGTGCAAAATTCTTATTTCCTTTGTGGTCTTTTCTCACAGCCAGATTCTTGTTAGAAAGAATTCTAAAATACATCTTTTGTAGACTTGGGAGCCAACTCAGAGTTGGCCCCAAAATGAGATAATTTTAGCACGAATAAGGGTAGTATCTGTCAGATTTCTAAACACATGAAATATGTATAAATCAATGAGTCAATTCTCTCTCTCTCGCTCTCACACACACACGTGCGTGCATGCGCTAATTGATCACCTTGGAGATGCTAGCAAACCAATTACTTATTTTGGAAATTAGTAAATAAAAGGAAAGAACTATTTATCCTTCCTTTCCTATATGAACTCTATCACTACATAATCAAATGGTAGATAAGGCAAACTTTCTCATTAAAATTTTCAGCAAATAAATGAAGAAGGAATGTGACAATAGGAATACTGCCGTTTTGCAATTTGTAAATAATTAAATCATTTGGGCAATATGCAACCAAAGCTGCTCAAGGCACAGAAAGAGAGACAACCAAACATTGTGTGTCTCCTGATGAAGTATATACATCATCGCCTGTGAAATAGTCTTGCTAAAACAACCAAACTTGAATCTGACTAGTTTTCAAGATCCAAATATCAATTCATAGGAATACAGAGGGCAGAGGAACCTGTGAAAAGGGGATATAATCAGTAAACCCAGACTGTTGGAAAACATGGGAGAAATAATCATGTTTCTACAACAAATAATTGCAAGGCAAGAGAGGGAAGAAGAAGAAACCTATAAATTAAAAGACTCAAAAGGCAAACTTTAAAAAAAACAAGCAAAACGAAATGGCAGTTTAGTAATGCACACTTGGGTTGTGAAACTACAGAAAAATAAGAAAGTGAATATCATAAAGTCAACACAGTGCTTACTGTTGGGGGAAGGATGAGTTGAAACTGGGACTGAAAACGTGTAAGATTTGTGGAGTATCTGGAGAGTCTCTGGCTTCTGACACGAATGGTGGTTGTAAGGATGTTTGCCTTATACTAATTTATTAAGCTGTATGGACCATTAATTAAAAACAGAAAGCCTATTGAATATAAGTGTTGAAATCTAATAAGCTGATAAAAATAAAAAATAATATCACTATTGGCTGGGCATGGTGGCTCCCGCCAGTAATCCCAGCACTTTGGGAGGCCGAGGCAGGCAGATCACGAGGTCAGGAGTTCAAGACCAGCCTGACCAACATGGTGAAACCCCATCTCTACTAAAAATACAAAAATTAGCCAGGCATGGTGGTGCCTGTAATCCCAACTACTCAGGAGGCTGAGGCAGGAGAATTGCTTGAACCCAGGAGGCAGAGGTTACAGTGAGCCGAGATTACTGTACTACAGCCTGGGTGACAGAGTGAGACTCTGTCTCAAATAATAATAATAATAATATCACTATTAATTTGCCTCAAATAGAACCTCAATAGATCTGTAAATTGCATGATTCTTATCAAAAGCTTTGAGAGTGCATCAAATAGTTACAAAAACAGTGTTAAAAAGACGGACAGCATAGTGACAATTACATTCCATTTGGCTCTTAATTTTCAGGAATGAACATAATGCATTCCTGCCATGTGTTATTTTCCAAGAGAATTCTGAAACCTTATCTCCCATCATGCCATTAAGAAGCAAAACATAAAAAAGATAAACACAAACCTGTTGATATCTTAAAGTAAAACAGGAATTTCAAATATCAGGCCATGAAAACAACTTGAATACTTCTTGATCCCACAGAATAAAATTAAATTTCACTTCCATATTTCAGTATATACTAGGTTCCAAAGCCAAACACAGTATATGTCATATTTTAATTTGTTAGCTGACAAATCACACTTTTTATAGAGTTTAAATTGAACAGCATGCATGCATTCTTAATAGGGGAATAGGCAAGACTTGTCTTCATATATTACTGATATTAAATAGTGTACCTAAAATAAACTTTTTAATAGTTATGTATTTTACTTCAGTTCATTCAGTTGTCATGCACATAAAAATGATTAAATGATCAAAAAATTATTTGCAATGTTATATATTTCTGTGAAAGTGGTTCCAGAAATTGTTTTAAGGGCCTGATGAGAGGAGATCTGGCAAATGCTGGTCTACTTAGCTTGTCTAGATGTTCCTTCACAATCTGACTCCACCCATCCTCTAGCTCCTTCCTACTTTATATAAGCGCATGAAAACATGCTCATCATTATTAGCATTCAGGTAAATGCTAATTAAAGCTGTAATGGATATCACTGCACATCCACTGGAATAACAAAAATAAGAAAGTCTGACAAGTGTCGATGGAAATGTGTAATAACTGAAAGTTTCATACACAGCTGGTGAGAATGTAAAATGGTACAACACTTTGAGAAACAGGTCAACAGTTTTCTTATAAAGTTAAACATATATTTACCATACAAAATCATATATGTGTATGTTATACGTATGTAGGTACATATACATATATAGCTGGTATATATGTATGCATACATGTGTGTAAGAGAGAAATAAAAATATATGTCTGCACAATCGAAAAGAAATTGTATATGTAGAGAGTAGAAGGGTGGTTACCAAGGGTAGGGAGAGGGAGGGAATTGAGAAGTGTAGGCCAAAGGATACAAACTTGCAGTTATGTGGAATGAATAAGTCTAGGTATCTAATGTACAGCATGAGGACTATAGTTAGCAACACTGTGTTGTATACTGAAAATTTGCTAAGAGTGGATTTTAAGTGCTCTTTTCACATAAACTATGTAAGGTATGGATATGTTAATTTGTTTAACCATAGTAATTTCACTATTTATATGTATATCAGAATATGTTAGACAACTTAAATATATGCAATAAAAATTAATCGATTAATATTTTAAAAAGAAAAATATATGTCCACACAAATATTGTACAAAAATGTTCATATTAGCTTTTTATAGTAGCAAAACATGGAAACAGCTTAAGTCTCCAACAGTAGGTAAATGGATCAAGTAATTGAGATCTATTTGTACAACAGACTATAACTCAGCAAGCAAAGGGAATAAAATACTGATAGAACAGCATAGGTAAATTGTAAGAATATTATGCTGAGCCAAATACATTGGACACCAAACAGTACATATCATACGATTCCATTTATATGAAACTCTAGAACAGGCAAAACTAATCTACAGTGACAGAAAGCAGATCAGGAGTTGTCTGGGGGCAGAAGTGGTGATATAATGGAATTACCTACAAGGGCATGATAAAATTTTGTGGGGAATAGAAATATTCTGTACCTTGATTATGGTGGTGGTTACAAGGGTGTATACATTTGACAAAACCCTTCAAACTTACATTTACTATGGGTAGCATTATATGTGAACTATAGCTTAATAAAGTGGATATTTTTTAAAGTGCTAGAAGAAACTATGCCTTAAATGTGCCAAAAGTGCGCCTGGTGGGGCACACCTGTAGCCCCAGCTACCTGGGAGGCTGGAGCAGGAGGATCATTTGTGTCCAGGAGTTGAAAGCTGTCGTGTGCCATAATTATGCCTCAAAATAGCCACGGCACTCCAGCCTGGGCAACATAGCAAGATCCCATCTCTAAAAGTGAAAATAAAATAAAAAGTACTAAAAAGATTCAGAATGGGGGAAAATTTAGCATGCTGTGATCCCCAGAGAGGGTTTCCTAGAAAAGAATCTTAAAGAGATGTTTTAAAGAGACAAGAAGCCAGAGGCCAGGTGCGGTGGCTCACGCCTGTAATCCCAGCACTTTGGGAGGCCGAGGCGGGTGAATCACGAGGTCAAGAGATCAAGGCCATCCTGGCCAACATGGTGAAACCCCGTCTGTACTAAGAATACAAAAATTAGCTGGGTGTGGTGGCACGCACCTGTAGTCCCAGCTACTCGGTAGGCTGAGGCAGGAGAATTGCTTCAACCTGGGAGGTGAAGGTTGCAGTGAGCCGAGATGGCACCACTGCACTCCAGCCTGGCAGCAGAGCTAGACTCCGTCTCAAAAAGAGAGACAAGAAGCCAGCCCAGGAAGAGGAAATGGCAGAAGCAAAGCACAAAAGTAGGGAATTTACACAGTGAATTAAAAAAAAAAAAAAGGATTATTGTTAGTATGTTTTGAAGTTGATTTTTTTGATGAAATATTGTTGAGAATTTGGGCTTTTATTATTTTCTCAACATTGTTTAGCAGCAATAAAGCAATTTTTTAAATGCACCAATAATTAAATATTGCAGCTTTTAAATAATGTTCTTTATGCTTTTGTTTAATGGATTTTCTGGAGGTTGAATTGTTGTGTCTAGTCCTTGACCTACACAGTTTAATTATCCTTATCGACTGACTCATGAAATTCTATCTTGCGCAGTGGTGTGCTATAAATGAAGCTTTGTTCCTTTTGTGAAATTGAGAGTTCTCTGCCTTTCCTCCTGGCTCGTGATCAAGAATTAGGCTATATCTTATCCCACTGCCTGAAACAGAAACCTAGCAAGTTAGATGACTATGAAAAAGACATCCTGATATTTTATCAGAAGTCCAGACAATGATCTATCATATGAGATTCTTCTATATTATACAATGAGACCAGATTTCAGAATCAGGGTTAGGCATACCAGCAAAAAGAGGGGTGGCTGAGGTGGGGTAATTTCTGAACATTTCAAAGACCGGGCTGTCTCTTAAAATGTATCCCTCTTGCTGACTGGTGGCCAAGCAGCTATAAGAAAGTGCCATTCCTGTAGTTTGAGGCCTTTTTAAAATAGATGAACTCTGAGGCTCTTTTGCACCCTCAACTTTTAAAATTCCAAAACAGTGCTTGAAATTTTGAGGTTCCTGAGCTAAAATAGGCCTGTGTCTGTGTTTTTTCTCAGACTGCCCAGTTTTAAATTTGTGTGTATGTGTGTATTCAGAAAAAGAATAATAAACAAAATTTTAAAGGTTTTTTTTTTTCACTCTAGCTCACCCATCCAGGTTATCACTTCTTTTCACTGTCTGAGCTGCTTTTAAAAATAGTTCTGCTAGTTATACAAAACAAATAATATAAGTGATTCTTGTCGAGAGACATACAAATTCATTGTGTTTAGTGAAATGCAATTGATTATTACATATAGATGATTGATAGATGATATAGATAGGTAGATCTGTTTAAATCTTTTTTGCACCTGTTTAGAAATTTATTTCATAATTTTTTATTCCCTTGTGTAAGTTTCTGCTCTTTAAATGTCTTTTGAACTGGTCGTAGCATCTTACTGGTTCCCACTGTAGCATCGTAACTGGTTCATACTGATTAATGAGTTAATCAAAATATTTGACACATGTACATTTTATAGTTGGTTTTACCTTTTAAAAAATCTTTTAAGTATGCATTATTTTAGATCTCAAAAGGAGAGAGTTGAATGAATCATTAACTATTTATAATTTAGGATGCATTGCCACCTTTGATTCTGAAAAAGTCCTTTCTCTTTTTTTTTGAAGTGGAATCTTGCTCTGTCACCCAGGCTGGAGTGCAGTCGTGTGGTCTTGGCTCACTGCAACCTCCGCCTCCCAGGTTCAAAGCGATTCTCCTGCCTCAGCCTGCTGAGTAGCTGGATTACAGGCATGTGCCACCACACCCAGCTAATTTTTGTATTTTTAGTAGAGATGGGGTTCCATTTCTTATATGTTTGTTTTCATAATATTTTTTTTCCCATAGCTCACTTCTATTTTCTCTTCACCCCCAACATGGACAGCTGTTTTAATGAGTGTAATGGAAATCTTGTTATTTGAGTATGTTCTTGCAGCTTGGTGGTATTTTGTGTGTATATATGTTTTTAATTGAGGTGAGACATATATGAAAGTGCATAAAGTATACTAATCTTAGGTATAGGGCTCAATGATTTCTCAATCACCATATGTATATCCATGTAATCACCACTCAGTTATAGAATATTTTCAACACTGTAAAGTTCCCTTGTGCCACTTCCCAAGTAATACCACACCTACCACCTGCCCTACCTCCTCAGAGGTAACCACTATTCTGACTTCTATCTCTATAGATTAGTTTTGCCTGTTCTTGACACTTTATATATGTTCTTGAACATATCACACTGTTTTCTCTTCTGCATCTGGCTTCTTTCACTCATCATCATCCCTATAAGAGTCATCCATGTTACTGTGTATAGGAATAGTTTGTTAATTTTTTGTTGTTGAGTAGTATGTAGTATTCAATTTTATAAATATGCCAGAATGTATTCATTCTCTTATTGAAGATGAGAACCCAAACCATCTACATTTATACAGTTGACTACCTACCTTAGCATGACTCTACTATTTCACTGGCATCATCAGGATCATTTTACTATTTTAAGAAACTCTTGTCTAGGAAGATAAAAGTCACAAACCACTTTATTATTCATTCCAGGAAATTCTTGAAACTCTTCAATAGAAATCAACAAACAATAATTTACACCTTTAGTTGCTTTAAACCCTTTACCTTGCCTTGCTGTGTCCATCAATCCTAATTATCATATTCTTTTCTGCTCCTAACCAAGACCTACTCTCTTACACTGAAAGACCCACCTTAAAGCACTTCAAGCTATCAATAAATATCCTGACTTGGTCCTTACCACTCTGAGACACTGCAGAGACTCTGTCACACTACAGAGACTCTGTCACACTACAGAGACTCTGTCAGGATAGTTCTCGATTCAGCTTTGTCTTTATCAACAGGTAGTTTGAGTGATAATTTAGGGAGCCAACATTAAATAAGGGACAGTTGGCTTGTTTCTCATTTTTTGGCTTTTATAAATAAAGCTGCTATGGGGATTCTTACACATGTTTTTATGGACATAACCCCTTTCTCTTGGGTAGATATTTAGGAGTGGGATTGCTCACTTGTATTCTAAGTTATCTATTTAACTCACTGGAAAATTGGAAGATATCCCCTAAAATCAAGCTTTCTGGCTTTTTTGAAAACCTGGAAAATACTTGGCAATACTGGGCCAGCATTCCTCATTGTCACAGTCAGCTAGAGCTGAGTAGCAGCTCATCACTAGACAATGATGAGCTCTCCTCTCTGGCTCATCCACCCAATTTCCCCATGTAAGTCATCTGTCTGTCTGCTTCAGTAGGAATGTTATTAATAGCTGGTAACCTCTGTTCTAACCATAGGCTTGGAAAGGGTAACTCTTTAAGCTTTTATTAATTCTACTCCAGTATAGATAAGCAAGAGTGGTTTTTATTGAAAAGGAATAGGACCATCAGGGGCTGAGAAATGAGGCCCCTCTGCCACTGATGGGGGAAAGCAGCAAGAATAGAGAGCAAAGATGACTTTGGAAATCTTGATCTATTTTGCGATTTAATCCAGAGCCAATGCTCTCTAGAAGGAGACTGGCAGTGGAGAAATGAGAGGAATCAAAACCAAAAAAGACCTAAATCAGTCTCCCTTACTTATTATCATCATAAGTAACATTTATGAAACATTTTTTGCACTTAGGGTATTGCAGATGTAAAGAAAAGTTAAAATAGCTCCCTACTGTTGAACTGAAAGAATTTAACCCAAACCAGAGTCCTTTATGCTATAAAAAAAGAAATAGGTCATTAAAGACTAATACAGCTTCTTTTTATTTTGGTAGGTATGTGAAGAGAGCAGAACAGAAATCAAGCGTATTTCCACATAATCAATGGGGGCTCATCGACTCCAAGGGCCTGGGATAAGACTCTATGCTAATTGAATAAATTTTTTCTTCCTCAGAATGGGTTTTTTTTTCCCTCCCAGCCTATTAAGATAATGCTTGGGAGGCATGTCTGTGCTTGGTATAATAAGCCTATTAAAAGGAAGTGGTCTGTCTATACCTGATACAGAGTTGCAAAAAAGATGTCATTCCTTCCCATAACCCTGCATCCAGGGGAAGGAGAAATCAACTCTTGGCCTTCTTTATAAACTTATGCTAAAATTGCTTAACCCTCCCATAAATAAAATTTGTGTCTACCTGCTTGGCCTGGTATGATGGTCTTAGGGCAATTGAGTGGTCAGTGAGGGAAAAAAAGTGAGGCTTGAACCATCTCGTTCTCATATTGGCTCAGCCTATTCTGTGTACTAAACCACAGAAACACCCGCAGGAGAAGGAGGGTGGCTAGGGGAGAGATGGAAACATAAAGACCCAGGATGCTGGGGCACAGCTCTGGTAGTATAGAATCTTCTGTTTGTCGTGGTAGCTAAGAAGATACTGTCTTCTGATAGGTGAAGGGAGGGAGACCATATATCTGAATTGCACTTACACTGTTTAAGAGCCAAATAAATCATATCCAACATCATTTGTCAAAGAGTTTGACGTGAATTGAATGACTCCATCAGATGTCAACCATGAAGAAAGATAAATGAGAGGGCTTTTCACACCAGGCTAATTGTTAGCTGCCCAGAACAACCTTGCGGTTTGCAGCTGCGGTTTGCAACCTTGCAGTACTTGACCTCCAGACTGTCAAAGTGCATGATCCTCAATCATTCAGGCCAGAGCCTGCTGCTGTTAACCCTCTCCAGGCCAGGCCAGGCTATGAAACATCTGAGCCTCTGTCTCCAATTTCTACTCTGCCTTTCTTTCTCTGATCCTCTGCAATGTCTTTCCAGGTTCTCTCTACTCCTACCCAGTATCCAGCTTCAGCCTGTCAGTCAGCCTGAATCCTCATATTTCAACCCACAAATTTGTCCTTGAGTTAGTCACCAGTCTCCTTTGTTCAAGTTCTAACAATGCTCAACAGTCAGCCTGAACTCCCTGGGTCTCCTCTCGAGAATTGTTTCAACAAGCAACCAGGCCAAGTTTCTTGCTTCCCATGTAGATGTTGGAAAATATTACAATGAAAAGCATCCCAAGATATTCCTCCAACCTAAGTCAGAAGCCCTTAGCCCTTTATGTAATTTTTGTTGTTTAAAAACTTTATCAACTGCTTTCTTTATGCCAAGTGTATTAGTCCGTTCTCACATTACCATAAAGAACTACCTGAGATGGGGTAATTTATAAAGAAAAGGAGTTTAATTGGCTCATGGTTCTGCAGGCTGTACAGGAAGCATGGCTAGGGAGGCCTCAGGAAACTTAAATCATGGCAGAGGCAAAGGGAAAGGAGGCACATCTTACATGGCCAGAGCAGGAGGAAACGGGGGAAAGTGCCACACACCTTTAAACAACCAGATCTCGTGAGAACTCACTATCATGAAAACAGCAAGGGAGAAATCTGCTCCCCTGATTTAATCACCTCTCACCAGGCCCCTCCTCCAACACTGGGGATTACAATTTGACATGAGATTTGGATGAGGACACAAATCCAAACCATATCACCAAGCATGGTACTAAATGTTAGTTTAGGCATTAACTCATTTCATTGACATTTCCATGTTTCTAAAATGATGTATCCTCAGCAAACTGATGCTTGGGACAGTTCAAAAAGTTATGGTATGGGATCACTTATGTTTTTAAAGTGTGAAGTATAAGCCAATTTCCTTAGCTACCTCAGTCATCAGCTCCAGTGAACTAAAATCAAGTGAGGCCTTTACCAATGAGTTTGTGGGAAACGTTGAGGATATAAAACACATTTAGGAGATATTAGAAGCATCATACAGAGAATTAAGTTTAATGCCCTCCATTTTCTGTGCAATAACCTGTAGCTGCCGCCCCTCAAAGCTCATCAGTTTTGGCTGGACAAGATATTTCTTTTTGAGATCATAACCACACTTAAACATTTATATTGAGCCCTACAATTTAATAAATTTATCTAACTCAGTCTCTCTGAGGAGTCAGCCTCGTCATAACCCACGTGTAGAAGGACTGAATGAAGCTGAGCCCTAGACTAAGCAACCCCATGGGAGTCAGGAGACATAGGTGCTACACAGTCTCTCCCACCACTAGCGCTGTGACCTTATGAGAGTCACAACATCTGGGAACCTCCTTTCATAATCTGTAAAGTTAAGGGAGAGGTTCAAATAATCTAAGTCTCTTCAGTCTAACATTCTATCATCGTGTTAATCTCCTATCACACGAGTTATGCAGTCACCACATGAAAATGCATATAGGAGCCAGGCCAAATAATGAAATGGCTAAATGTTGGGGTGAAAACAAAACTGGGCTTGGGGAGGGAGGAATTTAACACAAACTCCCCTAATCCCCAATATATTCTCCAATCTCAGGTATGGACAATTGATGTTTTCTCATCTTGTATAAAGTGCTAAGTAAGCACAGCCTCATGATAGCCTTCCACTTCCAGCCACAGTGTCATGCCAATCCCTCCATTATAGAAACCCTGGCGCTGCAGCTGGCCAGGAGTGGGAACTGGAAGTGGTAGGACTGTGGCACATTAAATAGCATGTACCCCATTTGTAGTGGACCTTGTTGGTGTCCCAGCTGGAACCTACAGATCTCTTTCACCAGCTGCGTGCCCTTCCCCCACTTCTTACATGCTTTGCTGCTAATACTTCACCCGTGTGGCCTTCAGAGGCTTGCTCTTGGGCCCTAAAGTTAATCACTGATAAGGACGAGGGAAGAACTTGGTGATTATGCTGTCTCCTCTTCCTGCAGGGGAGGAGGGTATATAAAAGCTCAACTCCTTTAACACTAGGAACAATAAACTGAGATATCATTTGTTTTAGTCTGTAACTTCACCTGGAATCACACCCTTACTGGGCTTCTCCCCTTCCTTATCATGTTTCCCAACTCCCTTATCAGTTTCTCTTGGGAGCACTTTATTTATTTTTGTTTTTAAGGCAGGGTCTTGCTCTAGAGTGCCGTGGTGTGAGTGCAGTGGTGTGATCACAGCTCACTGGAGCTGGAGTGCAGACTGGAGTGCAGTGGCGTGATCCCAGCTCACTGCAGTCTCAACCTGCCAGGCTCAAGTGATCCTCCTGCCTTGGCCTTCCACCGTGCTGGGATTACAGGCATGAGCCACCATGTCCAGCTGGGAACACTTTTTAAATAAATCACTCACACCCAAATTCTTGGCTTAGAGAATCTTCTGGGAGAACCTGATCCACAATACTACCTAAATGCATTCACATGCATCTTTTTAAAAAGATTACTATTCTGTCACATGAGGTGTATCAAAAAGTCAAATTTAGCCAGTAAACTGCCAGTTTAAAATGTCTGATTTAATCTAAGAAAAACTTTTATTCCCAGTCCAGTAAAGAAAGCAAGAAACTTGACAAAGGTACTGAAAAATTTGACAAAGATGTTGAGAGTCTCCAGAGACCTGTATATCTAATGCCTATGGCTATTACAAGCTCTTAAGCTTCCTAATGCATTTGGTTCTTTCTGCTCTATATATCAACATCTGCTATAAACATTGAAGAACAGAAACAGAGTGCTGTAATTCTTGGGCTGGTTTATGATGCAGAGTAGAAATCACTTATTCTTCTATATTTTAAAGGCCCTGTAGTATTCTTCGTATTAATAATGCCTAACATTTGTTTAATGTAATATACTATTCAAGTACTTTCTAATACATGACCCTGTGCAATCCTTACAATGTTTCTGTGAAGTAATATTATTGTCCCTATTTCACAGATGAGGAAACTAAGGCTGTGAAAACTGCAAATCAGAAACATGAGTCTAAAGCGTGGATGTTTTTCCAGCATATAGAGCGTAGGTGAAAGACCTACTCTTTCAAGATCAGAAAACTGCTGATTCCAAACCATCTAGTTTGTAGCGGGAGAAGAGTATGTGAGAATTGAGATAGAAACAATTAATAGGGAATGTAAAAAAAGGGAAAATAAGATGTTTCCAGGAGAAACCAAAGAAGGTGATATTATGAAGATTTAAAAAAATAAGTAAAATAGAGAGGAGGCAGAAAATGATGTGCTCCATAAGAAAGGTGGAAAGGTAGAGGGAGGAAAGTTTGGTGGAGTCAGATGAAGAGCCCACTAAGAAGATAAGTGGGAAATGACAAAAAAAGGAAGGGTCAGAACTGAGGCTGGTTGGGTCAGTTTTGAGGGTAACAAAAACCATAAACAATATGCACTCATTGGGCAAGCCAGGTGTTAGGGCTGTCCTGACAGACATGAAGGAAATCCAGAGAGCTGTCTGCCAGCCTTAAGAGAGGTAGACAGCTAATAAACTGGCCAAAGACTGGGCCAAGTCAGGAATGGAGAGGTTTGGTAGTAGGCAACAGGCTATAGCAAGCTGCAGAGTCTGCAAGCTGATAAGGAAGCAAAGATTGCTTAGCAAGCTAGGATCAGGAGCTCCAACATCAGGTTGTGGGAATTCTTTCCCATACATAAGTTCCAAAAAAAAAAAAAAAAAAAAAAAACCTATCTTGTGCAGGAACTATGCTTTGAGAGAGCAAGAGGTGATGTTGAAATACATACCCAATCATGAAAACTGAGGTCTAAGGCAAAGCAGATCAAGTCTGAGCTGCAGGCCAACAGGATGCTGATCTGGCCTTAAATTTTTCTTATTTGCTTGTCAGTTTGATCTTAGAACCTGAAGTCAGCTGTAAGACTGTGGAGCACAGTGGTTAATAGTATAGACTCCTAGAGTTCATCTGCCTGGATTCAAATCCTGGTCCCACCACTTGCTAGCTATATAGCCTTGGACAAACTACTTAACTTTTCTGTGTATCAATTTCTCCATCTCTAAATTGGGGATAAGAATAGTATCTTCTTCATAGGATTGTTAGGAAAATAGCATTAATACATGTAGTAGCTAGGAGGGAGGTTCATATGGTATACATTAAATAAGTGTTACCTGTTATTTAGAGTAGAGCCTGTGACTGGTATGAGGGAAGGGACTATATGGCTAGGAAACCAGACAGGCTATTACAAATGGGGAGAAAGGAAAAAAATCCTTAATAATCATTATAGTATACCGAAGGCTGTCAGGTAGCTTTGGAAAGGGATTGCAGACACTGTGAGGAAAAGTCACTGTCAGAATTTTATAGTTTTGTTTTTCTCAGTGGCCTTGAATCTTCACTATGCTGAGAACATATCCCAATCTTTACAAGTCTTTAAAAGGTCAGGAACTTGGCAATAAGGCTGCACTTTGTCAGCCCTTGTTTTTTGTTTTGTGCAAACACAAAGAACTTCAATCCTATTAATACCATGAGTCATACAAACCAGGACATTTTCTGTAACCTGTCCTGAGTTCCATAATCTTTCACCTGAAAGTAGATATACCTCTGAATTGGGCCAAGGATGGAATCGTGATTTAAAATGTGTGCCTTTTTAAACAGGAAATGATGGAGATAGCTTTTGTCATGCCAAAGTAGATTCAGAGAGGCAAAGATTTCGCTAAATTATTATTACATATATGCATAAATTAATTACAAAAGCTTTTGGTCAAAAGCTTTTATCTGGGAAAAGAAAAAGGAAGCCATGGCTTTAGCTTCATAAGAAGACAGGGTAGAAGAAATGTAACAATGAGAGGGATCCTCAAGTACCTAGGAATAGGAGGATATTGTAGAATCACACACAGTAGGATTTGATACTCACCTAACACTGATTTTGGAAGTCCATGGCATGTGATAAACTATGCTAATCACATTTATATCATACATAATTTTTCCTACCATAGATGTAGTTTAAATGCTAACATCACAAACTATTTGAAGATTAGCTAATGGTTCAGTTTTTCCATTATATGTGATATTACACTAGCAAGCCATGCACAAAGTTGAATTAAAATATTAATTTTCTAAGAGTTCTGGGAGTTGCAAGTTTTATTTCCATAGATATTTAGCACCTCCTAAAAATGAGCTATGACTGCTGTGATGGTTTTAGTAGAATTCCCCTAAAACCTCTTATTTTTTTCCAGACAGTCTAGGTTCTGGCTAACGCAGGAGTGGCATAGAGCTAAATGAAAGGTAGCAAACTCATTTGCTGAAACCATTTTCCCAGTCTGAAAGATAATGACAGTGGCAGCCTCGCATGGGAAAAGGATTTGAAGATAACCAATAAACCAATCTGTGCACTTGCTGAGAATCATAGATACAATATGATCTGACAATGGGCCAGCCAGCCATGATCCTCAGTAAACAAACATTTCTGGAGGGTTTACTGCACAAAGGGCATGCCATTAGGTGTGGTAGGAGATCTAAAATAAACACAACTCATAACCACTACCCCTGAGAATGTTCTTAGCCCATTTTGTGGAGAACACAAACATACTTGAAAATGTGGCAAAACTTCAGAAGGGAGGACCTCTGTATGTCCATTAGGACTCCCTCTTGCAAGAAGAGAAAATAAACTTGAACATTAGAAAAAACTTGGGCTTATATCTCAGGAAATTCAAAGATCAAGTGGGCTGCAGTTGGTTTGCCTGGTAAACTCTGCAATGTCATCAAGGTCCTAATTTCTTCTTGTTTCTCTACTCTTCCTCCTTTAGGCCAACTTCCCTCATTATCCTGAAATGATTGCCACAGTTCCAGGCTTCACCTCTGAATATTACACCAACCACTCTGAAGAAAGAGAATGTATTTCCCAGCGATTTAAATAAGAGTCTTGAAATTTAGTTTGATTGGGCATCTTAAATCCCACGACCACCTGCGTGGTGGATATGTTCATTAACATAAGGAAATTGGGATCCACCCCTGGAATGAGGGAAAGAGTGAGATTCCCTCCCAAACAATTTTGGGCTATTTGAAGGAGGGATAGATAAGCATAGAAGATTCTGGGTACTATTAAAAAGGGAAGGCTGAGCACAGTGGCTCACGCGTGTAATCCCAGAATTTTGGGTGGCCAAGGCAGGTGGATCGCTTGAGCTCAGCAGGAGACCAGCCTGGGCGACATGATGAAACCCCGTCTCTACCAAAAAATACAAAAAAGGAGCCGGGCATGGTGGCACACGCCTGTAGTCCCAGCTACTTGGGGTCTGAGGCAGCAGGAACTCTTGAGCCCAGGAGATTGAGGCTGCAGTGACCCAAGATCGCTCCACTGCATTCCAGCCTGAGTGGCAAAGTGAGAACCTGTCTCAAAAAAAAAAAAAGGGGGGGGGGGTTGGGGGTGGGGAAGAGGAAATGGACATTGTATAGGCAACTACCCATGTCCATTCAGGAAATTCTGCAATCTCTCCTAGAATTGGGTCTAAGATTTCACAGTTAAAATAGTGACCATTTTGTTGAGCATAAACCCCTCATTGAGATTTAATTCATTTTTCCTTTATCCAGAATACAACTGAAATGGTATGAATTCCTATTTGTCTTCATAACACCTCCTCATGTATTTGAAGAGGTCTATTAGGTCATGCCTTCAATTGTCATACGTCTATTTCAAATAATTCGAATTCCTTTTATTTCTTAAAACTTGCTTGAGAACGACCTGTTTTTCTACTTCAGGATACGTACTTATCTTCTTTGGGTGCTCTTTAGTGTCTTAGAATGTGTTGTTAAAGCAGAGTAACAATCTCAGTGGAGTCCTATACTTGCTATAGCTACCATTAACTGAGTACTCTGTGCTGACAGAGTCTATGTGGTTTTCATACTTTAGCTAATTTAATGTTCCTTACAATGTAATGAGATAGTACTCACATTTTTAAGATGAGAAAACAAGACCAAAGAGGTTAAGTAACTTGTCCTAAAGCATGCCATAGCAGAGATTGGATTAGAACCCAGTATTCTCTGATTCCAAAACTTACTCTCTTTACGTTAAGCCAAACTGCCTCTAAAACACTCATCTTCTAGCTTGAGCAATGCTAAGTATGATTGGTGAATAAAAAATATTCCTGCACATTATGTAAATATAAGGAAAGAATAAGTGCCAGCACCTGCAAACCTATCACTTAAAAATTATTCCAAGGTTAAAATATTAAAACAATCTATCCTTCTTCAGTATTCAAATTGTGTCCCACAAATCACTTAATTCTCCTCTAAAGTCAGGTTTATGAAGTGGTGTGGGTTGAATGCATTATAATATATCAATGATTAATGATTTCCATATGCTAATAACATTTTTATAACCCTACTTCGAGTCTTGCTGATTAATTTTAGACAAGGTTACTTAGCTTTCAAAATATAAGAAAATGAATATCCTTTGCTTTAAAGTCAGTAGAAATTCACTGATGAAAGCAGTTATCGGAAGGGGTTAAAAAGGAAAAATGCAAACAATTATGTAATGTTGAGTTTAAGTGAGGAATAGGGGATAAAGGGCCTCAATTGAAGCCAAGCCAAAAAAAGTAATTAGGCTGCACATAATTGTCAGAATGAACTGGAACAAGAAAAATGAAAAATCTGGTCAGGAAAAGAGAGAGACACATCATAGTGCTGTCACCTACATTAGCACAAAATTATCTTCTGGGTGACATCCCTTTTCCCCTCTCTTAATGAGGAATGCAGCTCTTCATACATTTGCAAATACTTCTGACAGTCTTTACTTGGTCTTACTCCTAACAATCAAAGCACTTCTTTTCCAAATGCTTTTTAGATTTTCTTTTCTCTAAAACCACCAACAGAACATATACTAAATAGGATTCTGTCTGGGTTACGTGACTCCAAGAAGAACATTTGGCCTTGGTACCCTTTTAGAAGGAAAAGAAACTTCATCCCGTATTACATAAATGGAGAGACTCAGTTAATTCAATCCAGATATTTTTATTTTCTGGAAACATTTTTAGTTACTAAAAAAAGTTTTTAAGTTTTTCTGCTCATTGTAACCTATTTTTCTGATCCACTATATATTTACTTATTATATAAATATTATAATAATCATAATGTTTATTATATAATAATTATACAAAACAATGTCCCCCTTTTATAAAGAAACATACACACATTTCCATTAGCCTAACAACTCAACTATTCTTTTCTCATGTCCGTTTCCAGTTTGTGTCTTTATGGATATAAAACTTAAAATTTGTTGAAATTTTAATACAAATAAAATTTTGTATTCTGCCTTTTTCATTTAGCATTGGTTGATAAACATTTTACATATTGCTATGTGAACATCATGAATATTTTTAATAATTTCATGATAATTCAATTAAAATAATGTTCTATAATTTACCCAACCACTTCTCTATTGTATGCACAAAATATTTTCAATTTTTCCTGATTACAAATGAAGCTGCCATGAATTTTATCCTGCATAAAACTTTCTCTACATTTTGATATTTTCTTTGGACAAATTCCCAGATATTTTGCTATAATTTTTAAAATGTGCCTAAGTCCATTTGGTCTATACCGTTGCTCAAGTCTAATGTTTCTTTTTAGTTTTCTGTATGAGTGCTCTATCTATATTGAAGTCTCCCTCTATTATTGCATTGCTGTCAATTTCTTCTTTCAGATCTGTCAATATTTGCTATAGATGCTTATGTGCCCTGATGTTGGGTGCACAAATATTTACAGTTATTACATCTTCCTGTTGAATTCATCCTTTATCATTATGTAATGAACTTCTTTGTCTCTAGAGACAGTTTTTGAATTCAAGTCTACTTGTTTGACATAAGAATAGCCATTTCTGCTTTCTCTTGGTTACTATTTGCATGGAATATCTTTTTCTATCCCTTCATTTTCAGTTTGTTTGTCCACGAATTGAAACAGAGTCTTTTGTAGGTAGCATACAGTTGGATGCAGTTTTTGTTAATCTATTTGGCCATTCTGTGTCTCTTTTTTGGGTTTAGTCCATTTACATTTAAAGTAATTATTGATAAGAAAGTATTTACTATTGTCATATTGATAACTGTTTTCTGTTTGTTGTTGTTGTTGTTGTTGTTGTTTGTTTCTTTGTTTGTTTTTGAGACAGAGTCTTGTTCTGTTGCCCAGGCTGGAGTGCAATGGCGCGATCTTGGTTCACTGCAAACTCCGCCTCCCCGTTTCAAGCGATTCTCCCACCTCAGCCCCCTGAGTAGCTGGTATTACAGGCACCAGCCATCATGCCTGGCTAATTTTTTTTGTATTTTTGTAGAGACAGGGTTTCACCATGTTGGCCGGGCTGGTCTTGAACTCCTGACCTCAGGCGATCTGCCTGCCTCGGCCTACCAAAGTGCTGGGATTACAGGCGTGAGCCACTGCACCCGGCTCATGGTTTTTTTGTTCCTCTTTCTCTTGCCATTTTTTTATATTGCTAGGTTTGGGTTCCTTTCTCTTTTTCTTTTGTGAACTTCTATAACTATTTTATTTGTGGTTACCAAGGGCCTGATATAAAATATCTTATACTTTGATAGTCTATTTTAAGCTAATAACAATTAACTTCCCTTGCATGAAAGAACACTCTGCCTTTACCTCTCCTCCCCCTGTGTTATATGCTATTGAAGTCATAATTTGCAACTTCTTATAGTATATATCCATTAACTTTTTTAGTTATAGTTGTTTTTAATATTTTTGTCTTTTAATTTCCATAGTAGGATTATAATGGATTTACCCACTACTGTTATGGTAATAAAGCATTCTCTTTTTTGTCTTCTTTGCCAATGAGTTTTATACTTTTTAATGCTTTCACACTGCTGTTTAGCATTGTTTCATTTCAACCTGAAGAACTCCCTCCAAAAGACTCCTAGATTTGATTAATAATTTCAGTAAAGTCTTAGATTAAAAACTCAGTGTACACAAATCAGTAGCACTGTTATACACCAACAACAACCAAGCTGAGAGCCAAATCAAAAACTCAATCTCAATTCCTTTTACAACAGCTGCCAAAAAATAATTAAAATACCTAGGAACATATGTAACCAAGGAGGTGAAAGATCTCTGCAAAAATAACTACAAAATACTGCTGAAGGAAATCATACATGACACAAACAAATGGAAACACATCTCATGCTCATAGATTGGAAGAATCAATATCATGAAAATGACAATGCTGCCCAAAGCAGTCTGCAGATTCAATTCTTCTCAAAATACCAACATCATTTTTCACAGAATTAGAAAAAAAATCCTAAAATTTATATGGAACCAAAAAAGAGCCTGAATAGCCAAATCAATCCTAAGCAAAACGAATAAATATGGAGGCATCACATTACCAGACTTTAAATTATTCTACAAGAGTATAGTTACGAAAACAGCATGATACCAGTATAAAACTAGACACATAGACCAATAGAACAGAATAGAGAACCCAGAAATAAAGCCAAATACCTACAACCAACTGATCTTTGACAAAGCATTAAAAAAATATAAATTGGGGAAGGGAAACCCTATTTAATAAGTGGTGCTGCAAAAACTGGCTAGCCACATATAGAAGAATGAAACAGGATCTCTATCTCTCCACCTTATACAAAAATCAACTCAAGATGGCTCAAAGATTTAAATCTAAGCTCTGAAACCATAAAAATTCTAGAAGACATCCTAGGAAAAACTTTTCTGGACATTGATCTAGGCAAAAAAATTCATGACTAAGACCCTGAAAGCAAATGCAACAAAAACAAAAATAAATAAATGGGACCTAGTTAAACTAAAATGCTTCTGTACTGCAAAAGAAATAATCATCAGAGTAAATGAATAATCCACAGAATGGAAGAAAGTATTTGCAAACTATGCATCTCACAAAGGACTAATATCCAGAATATACAAGGAACTCAAACAAATCAGCAAGTAAAAAAATTCCATCAAAAGTGGGCAAATTACATGAACAGACATTTCTCAAAAGAAGTTATACAAATGATCAACAAACATATGAAAACATGCTCAACATTGCTAATCATCAGGGAAATGAAAATTGAAACCACAATGAGATACCACCTTACCCCTGCAATAATGGTCATGAAATAAAACTCAAAAGACAGTAGATCTTAGTGTGGATGTGGTTAAAGTGGAATGCTTATACACTGTTGGTGGGAATGTAAATTAGCACAACGTCTATGGAAAACAATATGAACATTTTTTAAAGAACTAAAAGTAAATCTACCATTCTATCCAGCAATCCCACTACTGGTTATCTATCCAAAGGAAACGAACTCATTATATCAAAAAGACACCCGCATATGTATGTTTATTGCAGCACAATTCATAATTGTAAAGATATGAAATCAACTTAAATGCCCATTGACCAATGAGTGGATAAAGAAAATGTGCTATATATACACCATGGGATACTACTCAGCCATAAAAAAGAATAAAATAATGTCTTTTGCAGCAACTTGGATAGAACTGGAGGCCACTATTGTAAGTGAAGTAACTCAGGAATGGAAAACTAAATACCATATGTTCTCATTTATAAGTGGGAGCTAAGCTATGGGTATTCAAAGGCATACAGAGTAGTGTAATGGACTTCAGAGACTCAGAAGGAGGATGGTGGGAGGTGGGGTGAGCTATAAAAACTTCATATTGGTTGTGGCTCACGCCTGTAATCCCAGCACTTTTGCAGGCCATGGCGGGCAGATCACGAGGTCAGGAGATCGAGACCATCCTGGCTAACAAAGTGAAACCCCATCTCTACTAAAAATACAAAAAATTAGCCGGGCTTGGTGGTGGACGCCTGTAGTCCCAGCTACTCGGGAGGCTGAGGCAGGAGAATTGCTTGAACCCGGGAGGTGGAGCTTGCAGTGAGCTGAGATCGCGGCACTGCACTCCAGCCTGGTTGACAGAGCGAGACTCCGTTTCAAAAACAAAAACAAAAACAAAACAAACACTTCACATTGGGTGTAATGTATATTACTTGGATGATGGGTGCACTAAAATCTCAGACTTCACCAGTATGCAATTCATCCATGTAATCAAAAATCACTTGTACCTCAAAAACTATTGAAATAAAAAATATTTTTAATAAAGAAAAAGAAAATAAAAGATAGTCAAAGTAGTAGAAATAGTTCCTGCCTTATGGCTACAAACTGTAGAGAAGCCATTAAAAGGAATATTTCTACAGTTTGTTTAAAAAAAGAAAATAAAAGAAAAAAATTGTTATTAAATACACCTGTGATAGGAACCAGGCCAGGCAATTTTACATACAATATTCACTGTATTATCACAATAACCTGTAAGTACTGTTATTCATATTTTCATGTAAAGAGACAGACTAAGTGAAGTTAGGAAATTTACTTAAAGCCATTTGATGAGAGAATGTTAAGACTTTTACCTTTGTAGTTCTGAAAATTATCAGTTATAATTTCTAAACTTCTTTCTGTTTTGTTCTTGATTTTATTGTAGGGCTACTCAACTATTTGAACACATTATGATCCCATATTATGCATACTGTATTCCCACAACATTTGCAATATTCATAAATATTAAGAGACCCGAAAATGAAACCAAGGCACAAATAAACCTATTAACGTACTTTAGTATCTTTTAAAGTTTTGCTCTCACCCCACAAAGGTTATTCTTTCATGAAAAATATATCAGATACAGTCTCTGAAAGAAAATATAATTACCATTGAAATCAATGTTACACGATTAGTTCAAATATTAACAAAGAAATGTATAGTGGTTCTTGATGTATTTAATATTCAAAGATTAATTAAATATTTACTGCAAGAAAATAGATAAATGATTCAATGAAAACAAAGCAAAAGGTTCATGTGATTGCCAATTCTGTTTCTTAGCAAACTATGTGTATCCCAAGAACTAAATTTAAATCACCTTCAGTCAATCATGCAATAGTGAAGTTAACCACATGGTTGCTTTTAATTTTCTAAGACAAAGAACAAAATCCAAATGAGTCACCTGGTGGTATTAAATCTCCAAAAGCAAATACAAAAGAACAGGAGGCAAATATGTAAAGAATGTAAATTGGCCAGGCGTCGTGGCTCATGCCTGTAATCCCAGCACTTTCGGAGGCTGAGGTGGGCAGATCACTTGATGTAAGGAGTTTGAGAACAACCTGGCCAATATGGTGAAACCCCCGTCTCTACTAAAAATATAAAAATTAACCGGGCGTGGTGGTGCGAGCCTGTAGTCCCAGCTACTCGGGAGGCTGAAGCAGGAGAATCGCTTGAACCTGGGAAGCAGAGGTTGCAGTAAGTCAAGATTGTACCATTACACTCCAACCTGGGCATCGCGGAGAGACTCCGTTTCAAAGAAAAAAAAAAAAAGAATGTAAATCATATTAAAAAAATGGACATTATTTTTTAAAAAGTCCAGCAATATTAAGTTAAAATGATAGCTATTTAGTTAATTGTATTAACTATATGTTCAGTTGAGAATAATTCTACCTTATAGTGGCTATCTTAGATTTCATGTCATACTTATTAAATTATAATTTAAAATGGACGCTACATAAATAAAATATGCTTTGACTTATTAATTTTAAATATTGTTATTTTAAGCATTTTTGCTAAAAAACAATAAAGTGAGACTAATAAGCAAAACAAATTGTGGCATTTATATAAAATGAAATATTATTAGCCTTTGCTAATGGAGGAGATCCTGCCATTTGCAACAACATGGATGAGCCTGGAAGATATTATGTTAAGTAAAATAAGCCAGACACAGAAAGAAAAATACTGCATAATGTCACTTACATGTGAAGTCTTAAAAAAGTCAAATATATAGAAACGGAGAGTAGAATGGTGTTTACCAAGGGCAGAGACGGGGAGAAAATGGGCAGATGTAGGTTACGGGGTACAAACTTGTGGTTACATAGGATAAATAAATCTAGAGATCTGATGTATAGCATGGGGGCTATAGTTAATAATACTGTATAGTATACTGAAAATTTGCTAGAAGAATAGATTCTAGCAAATTTTAAAGATAATTATTTGAAGTGATAGATAAGTTAATTTGTTTGATTGCAGTAGCAATTTCACTATGTATGTATATATCAAAAGATCACTTTGTACATGAAATATATACAATTTTAAATAAATAAATGCCTGCTAGGAAAAAAAAGAAATGAAAAGTAGATTCACATGCCCAAGTTGTTCAAAACTTACTTAAAATTTTCAAATAACTCAATCAAGTATCAGTTTTTAATTTAAGTGAATTAAAATTAAATAAAATTTAAAATGTAGTGTCTCAGCTCCACTAGCCATATTTCAAGTGTTCAACAGCCGTATGTGGCTATTGTGTTGGACATCGCAAATGTAAATAGAGGTATTATAACTGATTTTTTTTTTCTGAATAAGGGCTATAGTTCACAGAACCATTAATTATTTTAACATTTATTTCCTTTTTGGAAAAAATTTTGTATTGACCTTCTTAAAAGCATTTGCCTCCCTTCCAACAAGAAAAATCATTCAATAATCACTGGGATTCACGCGGGTCAAAATGGCCTGGGGGGATCCAATAGATGGAGTACCAAACTCCTCTTAAAGTCTTGAATAGATGGATACTAAAAGAAGATTTTTGTGAATAAAATATTCCCATATAAAAAGAGAATAAATTCTTTTAGAAGCTTTTTCTGAGGGAAGTGGAAAAATCCAATTAACTGTTTTTATATCACCAGCTGGTTCCTTGGAGCCGAAAGAAATAACACCTCCCAGGAGTGAACATTTATTTCACTTGTAGTCAGAAATTCAGTCGCCCTGCTTCCCTCAGAGATCAGGCTGCCTGTTAAACAATATTGATGGTAATTAGGATGACAAATAACAACAAGTAATAAGGACACAAATTCTTACCCTTGCAGCTCTTCTCTAATCTTTATTTAATTTATCTATGTGTTTTCGGTACTAATGAGATTTTTTAAATCTATCTCAAATTGAGGCTCACTTTCTTGTCTTTTGAGAGTGTGGTGCTTCATGATAGTTCCATGATGCTAAAAATAATGATGATAGCTTCTATTTTATTTTAAGAATTTCCATTTTCCAGTGCCTAGTATGCACCAGACACTATTATAAGCATTTCATAATATATTAAACTATTTAATGCTCACATTTACTGAAGAAAGTAGAGGTTAAGTAACTTGCTCAAAACCATACAGCTATGATCTTCATAGTCATTATTTTAGATGGGGAATTTGTTATTGAATACTATGTGCTGCTTCCTAATGACACCTTTCCACACATACCCCATTCATTTGCCTTCATTCATTCCTTCCTCCCTCCCTTCCTTTGTTTCCTCCCACTCTCCTTACCTCCCTCTCTTTCTTCCTCATTCTATGCCTTTTCTCTCCACTTCCACTATTCAATCTATCACACAAGAGTGTGTCTTCACCACCCAAAACTGCTTTTGTTGAGGTCACAAGTGACTTCATAAATGGTAATCTCAAGGGGCCAGCTTTCAGTTGCCTTGAAAATATCTTCAGCAAGTGGTCTCTTAAACATTCTCACCTCTGGATTTCTAGGGCACATTCTCTCACCTGATTGTCTATCCATTTTCTCCACACTCCTAGTCAGTCACCTTTGCTGTGCTCCTTCTGTTTCATCTTCCCCTTAAAGGTAGGTTTCACAGATTTTCTTTTATTCATATGTGTATTAGTTTATATATAACTGTGTATATAACTGACCAAACAATCCTCTCTTCTCTACCAACACTCATATCCTGAGTGAGCTCATCTAGTCTCTTGCCTTTAAATAACATGTATAAACTGCCAACTCAATCTCCATTTTGGACTGAATTAAAAACTTACATACTCACCTGTCTTCCTGACATCTCCACGTGGATGTCTATGAGGGATCCTCAACTTAGTATGTCTAAACCTAACACCAAACAGCACCCCCATCACTAGCACACACTTAAAACCAAACCTGCCTCACCTTTTCCCACACCTAAGTTACCAAACTGGATTAACTTTATCTTATGGATTTCCATGAATTTGTTCCCTTTCATCACTATCCTAGTTCAAGCCATTGTTGTCTCTTACTAGGATCAGAATTACAACCCCCTAATTGGTCCCTGAAATGCAGTCATGTGACCTCATCCTTCTAGTTCCATCTTAACTCTTCAGCCCCATCTCTGGTCTTTTTTTCACTCACATTCTATGCTTCTATAATACTATAATTATTTTTTCAGTTTTAAAAATATTCCAAGACTGCTCTTGCCTCTGCACCTTCAAATATGCCATTTCATTTACCTGGGAGGCTCTTCCTTATTCTTTTCTCTACTCATCTTTACCGGGGCACAATAAGAGCACCTACACATAAAGATCTTTGAACAGTGCCTGGTAAAAAGTAAGCACTTTTTACTCAATATCTTTTACCATAAGTATTATTTTCAGAGATATATATAATTCTCTTTACAGGCCACATAGTCCATCTAACCTGTCTGCTTCTGTGGGCATTTATGTTGTTTCCAATCCTCGGCTATTATAAACTATCCTTATGCACATGTAATTTCAAATATGTCTTGGATCAGTTCTCTGGAAACAGGGAGTTGTGTGCAAAATACTTATTGGAGGTACTCTTAAGAGATACATGGCAGGAGAGGAGCCAAGATGGCCGAATAGGAACAGCTCTGGTCTACAGCTCCCAGCATGAGCAATGCAGAAGACGGGTGATTTCTGCATTTCCAACTGAGGTACCGGGTTCATCTCACTGGGGAGTGCCAGACAGTAGGTGCAGGACAGTGGGTGCAGCGCACCGTGCATGAGCCGAAGCAGGGCAAGGCATCGCCACACTCGGGAAGCACAAGGGGTCAGGGAATTCCCTTTCCTAGTCAAAGAAAGCAGTGACAGATGGCACCTGGAAAATCGGGTCACTCCCACCCTAATACTGTGCTTTTCCAACAGGCTTAAAAAACAGCACACCAGGAGATTATATCCCGCACATGGCTCAGAGGGTCCTATGCCCATGGAGTCTAGCTCATTGCTAGCACAGCAGTCTGAGATCAAACTGCAAGGTGGCAGCTAGGCTGGGGGAGGGGCGCCTGCCATTGCCGAGTTAGTTGTTTGATTAGGTAAACAAAGCGGCCAGGAAGCTCGAACTGGGTGAAGCCCACCACAGCTCAAGGAGGCCTGCCTGACTCTGTAGGCTCCACCTCTGGGGGCAGGGCACAGACAAGCAAAAAGACAGCAGTAACCTCTGCAGACTTAAATGTCCCTCTCTGACAGCTTTGAAGAGAGTAGTGGTTCTCCCAGCACGCAGCTTGAGATCTGAGGTCGGGCAGACTGCCTCCTCAAGTGGGTCCCTGACCCCCGAGTAGCCTAAATGGGAGGCATCCCCCAGTAGGGGTGGACTGACACCTCACACAGCCAGGTACTCCTCTGAGACAAAACTTCCAGAGGAACGATCAGGCAGCAGCATCTGTGGTTCATAAATATCCGCTGTTCTGCAGCCACTACTACAGATACCCAGGCAAACAGGGTCTGGAGTGGACCTCTAGCAAACTCCAACAGATCTGCAGCTGAGGGTCCTGTCTCCTAGAAGGAAAACCAACAAACAGAAAGGACATCCACACCAAAAACCCATCTGTACGTCACCATCATCAAAGACCAAAGGTAGATAAAACCACAAAGATGGGAAAAAAACAGAGCAGAAAAACTGGAAACTCTAAAAATCAGAGCGCCTCTCCTCCTCCAAAGGAACGCAGCTCCTCACCAGCAATGGAACAAAGCTGGATGGAGAATGACTTTGACAAGTTGAAAGAAGAAGGCTTCAGAAGATCAAACTACTCCGAGCTACAGGAGGAAATTCGAACCAACGGCAAAGAAGTTAAAAGCGTTGAAAAAAAATTAGACGAATGGATAACTAGAATAACCAATACAGAAAAGTCCTTAAAGGACCTGATGGAGCTGAAAACCAAGGCACAAAAGCTACGTGACGAATGCAGAAGCCTCAGTAGCTGATGCGACCAACTGGAAGAAAGGGTATCAGCGATGGAAGACGAATGAAATGAAGCAAGAAGAGAAGTTAAGAGAAAAAAGAATAAAAAGAAATGAACAAAGCCTCCAAGAAATATGGGACTATGTGAAAAGACCAAACCTACGTCTGATTGGTGTACCTGAAAGTGACAGGGAGAATGGAACCAAGTTGGAAAACACTCTGCAGGATATTATCCAGGAGAACTTCCCCAGTCTAGCAAGGCAGGCCAACATTCAAATTCAGGAAATACAGAGAACACCACAAAGATACTCCTCGAGAAGAGCAACTCCAAGACACGTAATTGTCAGATTCACCAAAGTTGAAATGAAGGAAAAAATGTTAAGGGCAGCCAGAGAGAAAGGTCGGGTTACCCATAAAGGGAAGCCCATCAGACCAACAGCTGATCTCTCGGCAGAAATTCTACAAGCCAGAAGAGAGTGGGGACCAATATTCAACATTCTTAAAGAAAAGAATTTTCAACCCAGAATCTCCTATCCAGCCAAACTAAGCTTCATAAGTGAAGGAGAAATAAAATCCTTTATGGACAAGCAAATGCTGAGAGATTTGGTCACCACCAGGCCTGCCCTAAAAGAACTCCTGAAGGAAGCACTAAACATGGAAAGGAACAACCAGTACCAGCCACTGCAAAAACATGCCAAATTGTAAAGACCATCAAGGCTAGGAAGAAACTGCATCAACTAACGAGAAAAATAACGAGCTAACATCATAATGATAGGATCAAATTCACACATAACAATATTAACTTTAAATGTAAATGGGCTAAATGCTCCAATTAAAAGACACAGACTGGCAAATTGGATAAAGAGTCAAGACCCATCTGTGTGCTGTATTCAGGAAACCCATCTCATGTGCAGAGACACACATAGGCTCAAAATAAAGCAATGGAGGAAGATCTACCAAGCAAATGGAAAACAAAAATGGCAGGGGTTGCAATCCTAGTCACTGATAAAACAGACTTTAAACCAACAAAGATCAAAAGAGACAAAGAAGGCCATTACATAATGGTAAAGGGATCAATTCAACAAGAAGAGCTAACTATCCTAAATATATATGCACCCAATACAGGAGCACCCAGATTCATAAAGCAAGTCCAGATTCATAAAGCAAGTCCTTGGTCATAAACCAAGACCTTAGTGACCTACAAAGAGACTTAGACTCCCACACAATAATAATGGGAGACTTCAACACCCCACTGTCAACATTAGACAGATCAACAAGACAGAAAGTTAACAAGGATACCCAGGAATTGAACTCAGCTCTGCACCAAGCGGACCTAATAGACATCTACAGAACTCTCCACCCCAAATCAACAGAATATACATTCTTTTCAGCACCACACCGCACCTACTCCAAAATTGACCACATAGTTGGAAGTAAAGCACTCCTCAGCAAATGTAAAAGAACAGAAATTATAACAAACTGTCTCTCAGACCACAGTGCAATCTAGAACTGAGGATTAAGAAACTCACTCAAAACCACTCAACTACATGGAAACTGAACAACTTGCTCCTGAATGACTGCTGGGTAAATAATGAAATGAAGGCAGAAATAAAGATGTTCTCTGAAACCAATGAAAACAAAGACACAACATACCAGAATCTCTGGGACACATTCAAAGCGGTGTGTAGAGGGAAATTTACAGCACTAAATGCCCACAAGAGAAAGCAGGAAAGATCCAAAATTGACACCCTAACATCACAAATAAAAGAACTAGAAAAGCAAGAGCAAACACATTCAAAAGCTAGCAGAAGGCAAGAAATAACTAAGATCAGAGCAGAACTGAAGGAAATAGAGACACAAAAAACCCTTCAAAAAATTAATGAATCCAGGAGCTGGTTTTTTGAAAAGATCAACAAAATCGATAGACTACTAGCAAGACTAATAAAGAAGAAAAGAGAGAAGAATCAAATAGAAGCAATAAAAAATGATAAAGGGGATATCACCACCGATCCCACAGAAATACAAACTACCATCAGAGAATACTATAAACACCTCTACTCAAATAAACTAGAAAATCTAGAAGAAATTGATAAATTCCTCGACACATACATCCTCCCAAGACTAAACCAGGAAGAAGTTGAATCTCTGAATAGACCAATAACAGGATCTGAAATTGAGGCAATAATCAATAGCTTACCAACCAGAAAAAGTCCAGGACCAGATGGATTCACAGCTGAATTCTACCAGAGGTACAAAGAGGAGCTGGTACCATTCCTTCTGAAACTATTCCAATCAATAGAAAAAGAGGGAATCCTCCCTAACTCATTTTATGAGGCCAGCATCATCCTGATACCAAAGCCTGGCAGAGACACAACAAGAAAAGAGAATTTTAGACCAATATCCTTGATGAACATTGATGCAAAAATCCTCAATAAAATACTGGCAAACCGAATCCAGCAGCACATCAAAAAGCTTATCCACCATGATCAAGTGGGCTTCATCCCTGGGATGCAAGGCTGGTTCAACATACACAAATCAATAAATGTAATCCAACATATAAACAGAACCAAAGACAAAAACCACATGATTATCTCAATAGATGCAGAAAAGGCCTTTGACAAAATTCAACAGCCCTTCATGCTAAAAACTCTCAATAAATTAGGTATTGATGGGACATATCTCAAAATAATAAGAGCTATTTATGACAAACCCACAGCCAATATCGTACTGAATGGGCAAAAACTGGAAGCATTCCCTTTGAAAACAGGCACAAGACAGGGATGCCCTCTCTCACCACTCCTATTCAACATAGTGTTGGAAGTTCTGGCCAGGGCAATTAGGCAGGAGAAGGAAATAAAGGGTATTCAATTAGGAAAAGAGGAAGTCAAATTGTCCCTGTTTGCAGATGACCTGATTGTATATCTAGAAAACCCCATCATCTCAGCCCAAAATCTCCTCAAGCTGATAGGCAACTTCAGCAAAGTCTCAGGATACAAAATTAGTGTGCAAAAATCACAAGCATTCTTATACACCAAGAACAGACAAACAGAGAGCCAAATCATGAGTGAACTCCCATTCACAATTGCTTCAAAGAGAATAAAATACCTAGGAATCCAGCTTACAAGGGATGTGAAGGACCTCTTCAAGGAGAACTATAAACCACTGCTCAATGAAATAAAAGAGGATACAAAGAAATGGAAGAACATTCCATGCTCATGGGTAGGAAGAATCAATATCGTGAAAATGGCCATACTGCCCAAGGTAATTTATAGATTCAATGCCATCCCCATCAAGCTACCAATGACTTTCTTCACAGAATTGGAAAAAACTACTTTAAAGTTCATATGGAACCAAAAAAGAGCCCGCATCGCCAAGTCAATCCTAAGCCAAAAGAACAAAGCTGGAGGCATCATGCTACCTGACTTCAAACTACACTACAAGGCTACAGTAACCAAAACAGCATGGTACTGGTACCAAAACAGAGATATGACCAATGGAACAGAACAGAGCCCTCAGAAATAATGCCGCATATCTACAACTATCCGATCTTTGACAAACCTGAGAAAAACAAGCAATGGGGAAAGGATTCCCTATTTAATAAATGGTGCTGGGAAAACTGGCTAGCCATATGTAGAAAGCTGAAACTGGATCCCTTCCTTACACCTTATACAAAAATTAATTCAAGATGGATTAAAGACTTACATGTTAGACCTAAAACTGTAAAAACCCCAGAAGAAAACCTAGGCAATACCATTCAGGACATAGGCATGGGCAAGGACTTCATGTCTAAAACACCAAAAGCAATGGCAACAAGAGCCAAAATTGACAAATGGGATCTCATTAAACTAAAGAGCTTCTGCACAGCAAAAGAAACTACCATCAGAGTGAACAGGCAACCTACGGAATGGGAGAAAATTTTTGCAACCTACTAATCTGAGAAAGGGCTAATATCCAGAATCTACAATGAACTCAAACAAATTTACAAGAAAAAAACAAACAACCCCATCAAAAAGTGGGTGAAGGATATGAACAGACACTTCTCAAAAGAAGACATTTATGCAGCCAAAAAACACATGAGAAAATGCTCATCATCACTGGCCATCAGAGAAATGCAAATCAAAACCACGATGACATACCATCTCACACCAGTTAGAATGGCGATCATTAAAAAGTCAGGAAACAACAGGTGCTGGGGGGCATGTGGAGAAATAGGAAGACTTTTACACTGTTGGTGGGACTGTAAACTAGTTCAACCATTGTGGAAGGCAGTGTGGCGATTCCTCAGGGATCTAGAACTAGAAATACCATTTGACCCAGCCATCCCATTACTGGGTATATACCCAAAGGATTATAAATCATGCTGCTATAAAGACACATGCACACATATGTTTATAGTGGCACTATTCACAATAGCAAAGACTTGGAACCAACCTAAATGTCCAACAACAGTAGACTGGATTAAGAAAATGTGGCACATATACACCATGGAATACTATGCAGCCATAGAAAATGATGAGTTCATATCCTTTGTAGGGACATGGATGAAACTGGAAACCATCATTCTCAGCAAACTATCACAAGGACAAAAAACCAAACACTGCATGTTCTCACTCATAGGTGGGAATTGAACAATGAGAACACATGGACACAGGAAGGGGAACATCACACTCTGGGGACTGTTGTGGGGTGGGAGGAGTGGGGAGGTATAGCATTAGTAGATATACCTAATGCTAAATGACGAGTTAATGGGTGCAGCACACCAACATGGCACATGTATACATATGTAACAAACCTGCACTTTGTGCACATGTACCCTAAAACTTAAAGTATAATAATAATAAAATTAAAAAATTAAAAAATAAATAAATAAACAAGATACATGGGAAGGGTGTGAGAAGGGCAGAATTGGGAAGAGGGAGAAGCTGGCCTGCAATGTGTTCTTAACTGAGGCCTCAGCTGACCTATGGAGAGCTCTCAAGAGGTCTCAGGGTACCATATGACTTCTACTTTTTCTCTCTTGAAACCCTGTGACTGCTATGTGACTGCCATGTAAAAACACCTGGCCTAGCCTCCTTCATGATGACAGACCACATGGAGAGAGATGCCTGGTTGATACCCAGCAAGTAAGTAGGCCACTTAGATCATCCAGCCCCAGTCAAGCCACCAGATAAGTCCAGCTGCATGAGTGATCCCAGATGATATCAGTAGAAGAGACCATATAGCTGAGTTCAGACTAAATATCTGAACCACCTAAAAACCACAATAAGCAGAAAAAAAAATTGTTTTAAGTCATTAACTTTTCGGGTAGCTTGTTATGCATCAATACCTAAGTGATACAAGAGGCAATACTGTAGGAGGTTGAGAAACAACAAGATAGTAGAAACATGATGCCTGGGCTGCCTCACAGAACAGAGAGGCCTGAATGTGCTAGATTATTATATGAGACAGAAACTTCTATCTAGTTTGAATCACACATGACATATTATTTCATTTCATTTTCATGCCATCTATGAAGTAAATAGGAAGATTATTTTATTTTATTTTATTTTATTATTATTTTTTTTTGAGATGGGGTCTGGCTATGTTGCCCAGGGTGGTCTCAAACTCCTGGGCTCAAGTGATCTGCCTGCCTCAGCCTACCAAAGTGCTAGGATTATAGGCATAAGCTACTGCACCCGGCCTTCTTTATTTTGTAATGAAACCAAAGCTCCCGATGGTAAGAGAAATTTTTTATACCTAGTGGTTTAAGAAAAAAGCATTCAGGAAGCTTAAAAGCATTTTTGGCAAGGACCTGTGGATCTGGACAATAAGATGATTTTAGCACTAGGTTTGAATTGCTCTCTCACTGCAGGAAAAAAAAAATTATGTAGTGGTTACTATTTGAGAGCTTGGTTAGAGAGTCTAGCAGGGGAGTGCAGCTACTCATATTCCCTTGATCAAATAATGGTCCTCTACTCTCAAGAAAGGTAATCATCTTCCTCTACATGTACAGCTTCAGGAGGGATGCACATGGAGCAGAGAGGGAAGGAGACACCCTCCTAGCCAGCCTGGCCGGCCTGATCAGCCAGATCAACCCTGGTGATCAATGGGGTGACAGATGTTGCAACCAGATCACCCTCACAGCCATATTACTATTTGAAAAATGCTGTTCTCAAGCATTTTATATTAATATATTTACTCAACAAATATTTATTGAACTCCTGCTATGTGCATCACTCAAGACATTTGGGATACATCAGTTAAAACAAACAAAAAAACCAGAAAATGATGTCTGGCTTTATAGAGCATGTATTTTAGCAAAAGGACACAGTAAAAAATAAATAAATAAGTACAATCATTGGTATATTAGAAGATGATTACAGCTATAATGGAAAAAAGCAAAGTAGAGTAAGGTGAGGGACATGGGTGGGTGGAAGCAGATTATACTTTAAATAGAGAGGCCAAAGTGGACCTTTCTGAGAATGCAGCATTTCAGCTAAGACAAGAAGAGAGTGAGGCAACATTCATTCGTGATAAAAAATACTCAAGCAACTAGGAATATAAAAGAACTTCCTCAACCTGATAAAGGGCATCTACTAAAAACCCACAGCTAATATTAAACTTAAAGATGAAAGAATAAATGGTTTCCCCCAAAGATCAGGAATAAGATAAGGATGTCCATTCTCGCCACTTCCATTCAACATGGTAGTGGGGATTCTAACCAGGACAATTAAGCCAGACAAAGAAGTAAAAGGAATCCATATTGGAAAGAAAGAATAAAACATTCTTTATTTGTAAGTGCCATAATCTTATATACAGAAAATTCTAAGAAATCCACTTAAACTACTAGAACTAATAAATGAGTTTGACAAAGTTTAAGGATGTAAGATTAATATACAAAAGTAAATTGTATTTCTATAAGCTAGCAATAAACAGTCCAAAGATGAAATTAAGAAACAATATCCATTAACAATAGCACCAAAAAGAATAAAATACAGTATTTACTAATAAGTTTAGCAGTAGAAGACTTGAACACTGAAAGCTACAAAAATACTGAAAGCAATTAAAGGAGGCCTAAATAATATAGAAAGACATTTCCATGTTCACAGATTGGAAAACTTAATGTTGCTAAGAAGGCAATACTTCCCAAATTGATCTATAGGTTTAGCACAATCCCTATAAAAATCATAGCTTTCTTTTTACAAAAATTGATAAATTGATGCTAAAATGTATATGTCAATGCAAAGGACCCAGAAGAACAAAAATAATCTTAGAAAAGAACAGACTTGGAGAATTCACAATGACTATAAAGCTACAGTAATCAAGACAGTGTGGCATAAGGATAGATATATAAATAAATGGAATAGAATTGAGCCCAGAAATAAACTACTTGCACTTACAGTTAACTAATTTTTGACAAAGGTGCAAAAGTAATTTAATGTTGGTAAAATAGCCTCTTCAACAAATGGTGCTGGGACTACTGTATATTCACATGCAAAAATATAAATTTGGACCTCTATCTCACATTATACAAAAAAAATTAACTCAAAATGAATCATAAGTTTAAATGTAAGAACCAAAATTATGAAATACTTAGAAGAAAATGTAGGTGTAAATCTTCACAAACTTGGACTGGGTAATGATTTGTTAGATATAACACCAAAAGCTCATGCAATAAAACATTAATAAATTGGACTTGATCAAAATTTAAAACTTTTGCATTTTAAAGGACATCAAGAAAGTGAAAGTGTGTCCGAAATTGGTGGGTTCTTGGTCTCACTGACTTCAAGAATGAACCTGTGGACCCTCACGGTGAGTGTTACAGTTCTTAAAGATGGTGTGTCCAGAGTTTGCTCCTTCTGATGTTCAGATGTGTTCAGAGTTTATTCCTTCTGGTGGGTTTGTGGTCTCGCTGGCTTCAGGAGTGAAGCTGCAGACCTTCGCAGTGAGTGTTACTGCTCTTAAGACAGCACGTCCAGAGTTGTTCTTTCCTCCTGGTGGGTTGGTGGTCTCACTCGCCTCAAGAGTGAAGCTACAGACCTTTGCAGTAAGTGTTACAGCTCATAAAGGCTGTGCGGACCCAAAGCATGAACAGCAGCAAGATTTACTGCACAGAGCAAAAGATCAATGATTCCACACTTCGGAAGCAGACCCCAGCAGGTTGCGGCTGCTGGCTGGGGCAGCCTGCTTTTATTCCCTTATCTGGGCCCACCCACATACTGCTGATTGGTCCATTTTTCAGAGAGCTGATTGGTCCGTTTTGACAGGGTGCTGATTGGTGCATTTACAATCTCTGAGCTAGACACAAAAGTTCTCCAAGTCCCCACTAGATTAGCTAGACACAGAGCACTGACTGGTGCGTTTACAAACCTTGAGCTAGACACAGAGTAGTGATTGGTGTATTTACAATCCTTTAGCTAGACATAAAGGTTCTCCAAGTCCCCACTAGATTAGCTAGACACAGAGCACTGATTGGTGCATTTACAAACCTTGAGCTAGACACAGAGCACTGATTGGTGCATTTACAATCCTTTAGCTAGACATAAAGGTTCTCCAAGTCCCCACTAGATTAGCTAGACACAGAGCACTGATTGGAGCATTTACAAACCTTGAGCTAGACACAGGGTGCTGACTGGTGCATTTACAATCCTTTAGCTAGACATAAAAGTTCTCCAAGTCCCCACTAGATGAGCTAGACACAGAGCACAGATTGGTATGTTTACAAACCTTGAGCTAGACACAGGGTACTGACTGGTGCATATACAATCCTCCAGCTAGACATAAAAGTTCTCCAAGTCCCCACTTGACTCAGAAGCCCAGCTGGCTTCGCCCAGTGGATCCCGCACCAGGGCCGTGGGTGGAGCTGCCTGCCAGTCCCGTGCGGGGTGCCCGTACTCCCCAGCCCCTGGGCAGTCGATGGGTCGGGGAGGCTCGGGCTGCGCGGGAGCCCACTGCAGCAGTGGGGCGGGGTGGGGGGTGGTGCGGTGCTTGGGCATGGCAGGCTGCAGGTCCCGAGCCCTGCCCCGCAAGGGGAGGCGGCTGAGGCCCAGCAAGAATTCAAGCATGGCGAAAGTGTGCCGGCAGTGCTAGGGAACCCGGCACCCCCTCCGCAGCTGCTGGCACGGGTGCTAAGCCCCTCACTGCCCTGGGCCGGTGGTGCTGGCTGGCTGCTCTGAGTGCGGGGCCTGCAGAGCATGTGCCCACCTGGAACTCACGCTGGCTCACGAGCACCGCATGCAGCCCTGGTTCCTGCCCGTGCCTCTCCCTCCACACCTCCCCGCAAGCAGAGGGAGCCGGCTCTGGCCTTGGCCAGCCCAGAGAGGGGCTCCCACGGTGCAGCGATGGGCTGAAGGGCTCCTCGAGCATGGCCAGAGCGGATGCTGAGGCCGAGGAGGCGCTGAGAGCAAGTGAGGGCTGCTGGCACATTGTCACCTCTCAAAAGGATGCATAGATTGGAAGAAAATATCTCCAAATCACATATATAAGGGTCTTGTTTCCAGAACGTATAAAGTACTCTTACAACTCAATTACAAGAAGACAAGTCACAGAATTTAAAATGGGCAAAGAATTTGAATAGATATTTCTCCAAAGGAGGTATATAAATGGCCAATAAGCAGATAAAAAGATGCTCAATATCATTAATTATTAGGGAAATGCAAATCAAAACCTACTGTACATTCACCAGAGTGGCTAGAATCAAATAAGTATGGGAGAGGACGTGGAGAAATTGGAACCCTCTTATACTGCTGGTGGAGATGTGAAATAGTACAACCACTCTGGAAAACAATTTGGCAGTTCCTCAAAAGATTAAAGCTAGATTACCATATCACCCTGCAATTCCACTACTAGGTATATACCCAAGACAACTGAAAATATGTTAACACAAAGATCTACACATGAATGTTCATAGCAGCATTATTTATAATAACCAAAAAGTGGAAACTCCATCAAGGGGTGAATGGATAAAAAAAATGTGGTAGAGATCCATACAACAAATATTATGAGACCATAAAAAGAAATGAAGTACTGATACATGCTACAACATGAAAGAACCTTGAAAACACACTAAGTGCTGGGAGGGACAGAAGAAGTGAAGAATGCTAGCTAAAGTGTACAAGGATTCTTTTTGAGGTGATGAAAATGTTCTAAATTGATTGTGGTGATAATTGCACGACTCTGTAAATATGCTACGAACCAATGAAGTGTGTATTTATTTTTATTTTTATTTTATTTTATTTTTTTGAGACACAGTCTCACTCTGTCACCCAGGCTGGAGGGCAGTGGCATGATCTCGGCTCACTGCAACCTTTGCCTCCTGGGTTCAAGCAATCCTCCTGCCTCAGCCTCCCAAGTAGCTGGGATTACCGGTATGCACAACCATGCCTGGCTAATTTTTGTATTTTTAGTAGAGATGTGGTTTCACCATATTGGCCAGGCTGGTCTTGAACTCCTGGCCTCAAGTGATCCACCCACCTCAGCCTCCCAAAGTGCTGGGATTACAGGTGTGAGCCACTGTGCCAGGCCTGAAGTGTGTATTTAAAGCAGGTGAATTTTATGACATGTAAATTCTGTCTCAATAAAGCTGTCCAAAAGGGGAGGGAGGGGAAGATGGAGTGAACTATGTAGATATCTGAAGAAAGAACATTCTAAGCAGAGGGAACAGCCAGAGTGAATCCTCTAAGGCAGAAGAACAGCTGGTGTGTTCAAAGACAGCAAGGAGGCCAGTGTGACTGGAATAGGTGAGGGAAGGAAAAGCCGACAGGAGACAAGGTCAGAGAGATCATGAAAGGCCTGGTCATTTAGGGTCCATAAGACCCTATAAGGCCATTGTGAAGACTTTATCTTTCCAGTGACTGAGATGGAGAGCTTTTGCAGGGTGGTGAGCGGAAGGATGACATTACATCTGATTTACATTACAAAAGAATACATCTGGCTGCTGTGTGGCTGGGCAAAGGTAAAGACAAAGAGACTAGTGAGGACATTGTGACCCATAAAGAGATGATGACAGCTTAGACAACATTGATAGGTATTAATGGAGATGGTAAGTAGTTGGGATTTGGTGATATTTAACTCTAATCCTCACAACAATTCTATGAGGTAGCTAATGACATCATCCACATTTTACAGATGACAAAATGATTACATATGATTTCACAGCTTGCAACATCCCACACAGAATAGGTCATAATTTTATCAAATGTTAAACCCAGGCAGTCTGAGTCCAGAGTCTGCATCTCACTCATCATCCTATACCACCCCTCTGGAAGCTCGTCTGTGTCGGAAATCTCACCTGTGCCTGTCAGTTCTGCCACGTAAACATACGAGGATGTTTAAAAGTTTTCAAGCCACAGCTGTATGCTGGAATTCTCTTCCTAAAAACAAGCAGTATTCCTGGGGTCTTGGTCTGACAAGTTCATACTCATATTGAAATAATTTGTTTCCCTGAAAAGTGAGTGAGCATCAGTGCTGAGCTAGACAGAAAAAAATTTGAGGCCTAAAATGAGAAGAAAAAAAACAAGGCTGAAAAGTATGGCATTGCTCTAACAAGGAAGAAGAAAATAAATTCATGAGAAGAGAGACTCTGACAAATACCACAGAGGGGAATTATCCTATGAGCCTTTGTGAATTGAAATTTGGGGTTCTACGAAAATTATATAATGGGATTGGGATTCTTTCTACTTTTTAAAATGTTTGAATTGAGCCATTGTGTAGCTTTTACTCATAGCTCTGATGAGAGCCTTAACTACAATCCTGAAAGCTTATTCTGGCCCTAGTCGGGCCTATATCCAAGTTTTCTATAAATCCAAATATTTGAATTGGAAGTAAATTGCATGTGATTGGTTTTTCTTTTGCTTCCTCCAAATAATGGCATCTATCAAGGGTAGATCAGAGCACTTTGCCAGAATTCATACTTGCCTCCCCCACTTCTCTCCTCCCTTCTTCCCATCCTCTTTAAATCCAAGCCATACTCCTTCCATTTATAAAAGGATATTTTATTTTATAAACAAAAAATAAAATTCAAAGATCCTCCTGTTATATGTAAAGTTTCAGTGCTGCAAAAGGAATAGCACTCGAATATAAAGTTTTCCTTTTAATTCTCAGCAAGGCAAGTTACTTCTATAGAAGGGTGCGCCCTTACAGATGGAACAATGGTGAGCACACACTTGGACAAGGGAGGGGAAGGAGTTCTTATCCCTGATGCACATGGACCCTGCTGCTGTGCCATTCCCCCATTGGCTAGGGTTAGACTGCACAGGCTAAAGTAATTCCAATTGGCTACTTTAAAGAGAATGACAGGGTGAGTGCTTTGGCGGGAGTCAGGGCAGAACCGGTAGCAGGTAATTGGAATGAGTCAGGGTGGAGCAGGTAATCAGAATGAGTCAGGGTGGAGTAGGTAATCAAAAAAGGTTGCTTTATGAGGAAGTTAAGTTTAAAAGTAGAAGGCAAAGAATTGAACATACTGACACATTAATTCTTTGAAAAGAAATTTAGAACTCATATCTAACACTCCAACCATCTGAATGGACCCCTCTCAGCCGAGGGCATTCCAAAGTTAACCCAAAAAACTAGTTCAGGCCATGATGGGAAGAGGGAGTAATTCATGCCTTATTATGCCCTTCTCCCTTTTGGAATTCAGGCACAGCTGACCAGCATCCACATCAACACAGACCTTAAGACTAATAGAATAGCCTCTTTAAATCTGATAAGAAACATTTATAATCTATTCTCTTTGAAACCCGGACGCTTCATCTGCGTGGTAAAACCTTGGCCTCCACCACCCCTTATTGTAATTCAGACATTCCTTTCTATTGATTCCAGGTCTTTAGATAACAACACTTTCAACCAATTGCCAATCAGAAAATCTTTGAATCTGCCTATGACTGGGAAGCCCCCTTGTCCTGGCTTTCAGTTTTTCTGCTTTCCAGATCAAACCAATATAATACATCTTACACGCATTGATTGATATGTGTCCCTAAAATGTATAAAGCCAAGTTGTGAGTTGTAGCCTGACCACCTCAGGCACATGTTCTCAGGCTCTCCCGAGGGCTGTATCACAGGCCATTGGTCACTCATATTTGGCTCAGAATAAATCCCTTCAAATATTTAACAGAGTTTGACAATCTTTTCATGGACAATTTCCAGTTCTGCTCTGTGTTTTGGCTTCTTGTGGTCATGTGAGACTCATTCCTTTTACTGTTTCTGTGCATACCTTCCCCCAGCCCCCACCCTGCATCCTGTAAGGATAAGATGCTTGGAGCAGTAGCTACCACCTTGCAGCTGGAGGAGAACGCCAGGAGAATTTTAGAGTGCCACCTCATACTGAGATTCTCCTTCCTCCAACTTCTTATTATAGGAGGTATTTCATGATTTTGTTGCCTCAATTTAGTTTTCTATTATAGCAGAGGTATCCTAAGGAATCAAATAATTACCAATCTCACCTTTTCTTTTTTCTTCCACAACTCTTCTCTAATATTGGATCAGGGTAGGGGAGTTGGGTAGAGGGGGATATTTGCCTTCACCTGTACCCCAGCCAGTGCCCAGTCATACTAGGTCTAACTTTCTAAACTTCTGGATCTTCTCTCCCTCCCTTCTTCTCCTCCTCACTGCTATCCCCCATGCCCCTAGCAATCAAGTCCTGTAAGAATCAGGATCCACTTTCAAAAATAACAACTACATTTTCCACTGTGGGTCTGTGTCATAAAGGAATGGCAAAAGGTTAGTGTAATAGCAGCTTCCCACTGACTAGTCTGTAATCACCATTCTTTCGTGGAACTCAATCAAGTATCTCATTACATAAAATACTGAACATTATTTTGTCATTTATTTCCTTGGTTTAACCTGCTTAAATAAATAGTTCCCCCAATTCAAAAGCAATTTAAAAAGCAACACGGTTTTGTAAATTGTATGTATTTTTTAAAGTTTGGGTGGCAAAAAGTAAATACCTTGTCTTCTTTTATACACACAATAGTATTGTATAGACTTGAGCTTTGCATGGACTGCCTTTATCTGCTTCTACAGTATTTTAATAAATTCAGCTCAGCTAAATTCTCTGCTTTCCTCCATGACCTTTCTTTACTGTGGCATTATCCTGCTGTGATTGATGGGAGCACTGTACAATGTACTGGCATATTATAAAAATTGTATTTGGGCTGCCTAACTTACTTTTGATGAAAAACTTTAGTATACCTGCTAAAGCAATCCCTATTCCCTATGAAGACCAGCTTGAGTTTCTATTCCCTTTTTCAATTTTTTTTATGAGTTTGAATGAACTTGGAATCCGTCTCAGACTCAGGAGCAGAACACACTTTATGTTTCTGCAGAGTTGTTTTTCATCACAAACCAATAAACAGTAGACAAAGCTCTCTGTGGAGTCTGCTCATCAAATCAGATCTATACTGTATCACTATTTAGACAAAATGAAAAAAGGCCAAGAAATCAGGCACATCCACAGATATATGCCAACCTCTATGATAAGGTTGTCATGACCCTGTCATGAGACAGGGTCTGTCTTCCCAGAAATAAAAAGATGATGGGACACTCTGACAGAGGTGTCTCATGCGTTGACAATTTTCTTCACAGAGGCTGTGCCATTGATCTATCTCCACTGCATTTCATTGGGAATTTAAATTATATCCAGACATGAGTATTTCTGAACTGACTTAAACTGAAAAATAGCCTTTAGTCTTTTTCTTCTTCTATGGACATTTGTTAAATCTTTGTTTGCATGTATATAGAAGCTGTCCTTAGGGGAAATAGAATTCAGCCCATGTAAGAGAGTATTGAGTTTTCATAGTATATCTGCCTAGGTTCACTCTAAGGGCTCTGCTGGTTGTTTTATCATCATAAACCACCTGGAATCTCTCAACAAGACTGGGTACTACGTAAATTACATTCCAAGACAAGAAAGCCTGTTTTAAACCCTCTTTCAAGAGAGTTTATATTGAAAAAAGGAAAGGATTCAATCATAAAAAAGTATGAGCATGACTTTGAGGGCAGTCAAAGGTGTCTCTAATCCTACGACTTGAGACTCATGTGACAGGACAATTCCATGTAGCAAAAGGGGCAGATGGAGAAAGGAGGGAACCTAGAAGTGCCAGGGAGGCAGTGTGGCATGGCTCTGATCCCTGCTCTGCCACATAGCAGTGATGTAATTGTAGTGGGCACTTCCTAAGGCCACCTCCAATGAGTCACACCCTTGCATAATCCTACATCCTTATGTAATCCTCTCCCTTTGAGTGCAAGTGGAAAGTCTGACTTGCTTCTAACCAACATAATATGGCAAATGTGATGGAATGTCACTACTGATGGAATGTAATTACGTTGCATTATATGGCAAAGCCGATTTGATGTCACTCCTATGATTTATGTATGATTTATGTTATGATATATAAAACTCCATCTTAGTTAACTAGGGTGAGAGACTTTGCTAGCTTTGAAAAAACAAACAGCCATATAAACTATCTATGAAAAGGGCCATATGGGAGGAACTGTGGGTCATCTCAAGGACCTGAAGGGGACCTCCAGCTGAAAGCCAGTAAGAAGTTGGGGCCTCAGTCATACAGCTGCAAGGAAATGAATTTTTCCAACAACCTGGATGAGCTTGGAAACAGATTCTACCCCAGTCAAGTACTCAGGTAAGGATACATCCAATCTGACACTTTGATTGAAGTCTTATGAGATCCTGTGTAGAAGACCTAGACCAGCCGTGCCCAGACTTCTCCCATGAGGACTTTGAGGTAATAGATGTATGTTGTTTTAAGGCACTAAATTTCTGGTATGTAATTTGTTATGTAGCAATAAAAAATTAATACAGTAATCTAGGAACAAGTTTTTTCTTTTTCTCTGAGTCTAATTCTCCCCATCTATATTATGGGGATAATAACATCTACTTATAGGTAGGTTTAATCATCAAATAAATTTTAGCTCTTCCTAAAATGGTAGTTGTTTTATTGTATTATTAATATTACTATTCTTTTCTGGGTACATGAGACCCAGAGCACCAGGCTAAGGGTTTCAGGAGTTGAAGTCTGATCCTGGGCCCTAGCCCACAGGAACCCAGGGAATGCCATGCATGAATAAAGAAGAAATACAGCCAGCTGTCCTGTCTCGACTTTCCTTGAGGCTGATACAGTGGTGCACTAAATCTTTTTCTATGATCTACTCTGTGCCCAGCAATATGCTAAATATGCTAGGCAGAGACAATACCAAGAGAAGTAAGAGGTTCTCCCTGCCCTTGAAAGTGTCCAGGCTAATAGCCATAATTTAGACTCTAAGACTCACATTGCAGTTCTGTGTTCAGAACTGGGATTCCAAAATTTGAGGGCAACCAGTGCCAAGCTCTGCATATTTTAGGGTGCAGTGGGAAGCTTTGAGGCTGCTTACATCCTTGGGTGTCCAACACCTTGGGTAAGTAAAGGCTCCCTTAACACAGGGAGCAGGTAAGGCTGAAGCCAAGGGAATGATGTTGCCCCTTGGCATCACTGTCATGAACTATCTTGAATCTCCCAACAAGGCAGGGCACTGTGCAATTGACATTCCAAGACCAGGCAGGCCTATTTTAAATCCTCTTTAAGAGGATTCACAATCCACCCTCTTGCTGCACTAGCATGGGTAGAGCAGGAAAATTCTCCATATTATCATTGAAGCTGTAAAGGTTTGGGAGATGGGTCATTCAAAATTTTCAGAAGTTCTTGAAAGCCAAATGTTAGTGGATGAGGAACTAAATTGGCTTCTGTTTCATCTTTGTTAGGTTTCTACAGCAATGTTATCTTGAATGGTTTGTCAACATGTTTCACTGAGAAAACTTAAAGCAACTCTGGTAATTACAAGTGGAACCTTGTTACAAGTGGAACCTTGACAACTTCAGAAGTGACCATCACAACCAAACATTCCCTGCTCTGAATCACCTGACATTCACTGTCTCATTCACACCAGCTTCTTCAGGTGGCCCTTGATGATCTGCCTGCCTCCACAGAGGCTCAGAAAATTAGCCTTTTCTTTTTTTCTAGATTTCACTCTTCATGATGGATGTGAAAGACAGTAAAGTATGCTAGTTAAAACCCAGCCTCTGGAGACAGACTGATGTGGGGTAAATCCAGCTTTGCCACTTAACAGTTCTCTGCTCTTGCACAATTTTACTTAACCTCTCTGAACCTGAAATCAGGCTAGTTACAGCATATTAGTGAAGCATTCATCACAGAACCTGAACATAGGGAGTCCTCATTAATGACAGTTATTATCATCGTTATTAATATATTATAATCACATGGCTATTGCTTTGTACTTATCACATAGTCATTAATGTCCCTAGAATAGTGCAGATCGGATGACACCAGTTATAAGACCCTGAGAAGCTTAACTCAGCAAAACTAAGTTGTTTAAATCTATGTTCTAGCTCAGAGGTTGGCAAACTTTCTCTGAAAAGGGCCAGATAGTAAATATTTTAGGCTTGCAGGCCATATGGTCTGTGTTGCAACTACTTAATTCTGCTATTATAACTCAAAAGCAGCCATAGACAATACAAAAGAAAATGAGTATGTTTGTGCTCCAATTAAATGTTATTTACAAAAAGAATTGGCTGTTTGGATTTAACGTGTAGGTCATAGTCTGCCAACCCCTGCTCTAGCCCCTTGTCCATGTACAGCAAGGTACTCCCAAACAGAATGCTAATGGGAAGGGCACGTGGCACAGTAGACACAATAGAGTTTGAGTCTCGATTTTGTCATGTCCTGACTGTAGCATTCAGGGAATATTACTTAACTCTGTAGAATTCTGAGAATATTACTTAATTCCTCCATGCCCCAGTTTCTTCCTCTGTAAATCCTAGGCAATAGTACTTCCTGGGCAGGGTTTCTGAGGATAGATGACCCCAAGTATATAAAAGATAATTAAGTAAAAGAGATAACATATGTAAATGAGATAATGTAAGTGTGTATATTTCAGGCTTTTTTGCATGAATTTACTTTGTATCTATCTGTTCAACCGGATTATGAGTTTGTTGAAGACGAAACATCTGTTATCTATTGCCTTTATTTCTCTCATCCTTGTCTCTAGATCCTAGAAAAGTCGTCTGCACAGAGCAGGGCATGGCCTGCATTCCAAATTTTGTTATTCTCAAAGGTCAGTTGTTCTCAGTGGCAGACAACAGAAGCCAAGACTTGCTAAGTAAAACAGAAGACAAATTTGCTGGAAGGACATGTGAAAATGGGCACAAATTAGGAAGCAAGGTCATACTTGCATCACTGCTGTTAGGCTGCTACCACTGACTCCTCTGCTCCTGCACTCCCAAAAGCACCATCAAGAAAAACCCCACACACAGTTCCTTCATCTTTGCCTTACTTGCTGAAGATTAGAAGTCCCAGGTAGGAGTCTTTCAATGACTAAGGCCAGATCACCTGCCCATATCCTGGCTACAAGGAAGCAAGGAAAGAAAATGTTAGCCAGCCCTTTTGGCTTTTGGAATGAGAGCATTTTACCAAGTCACTTAATGGTGTAGAGCTCCCCAGTAGGAAAGGTTTTAGGGGCTGGGCAGCTAGAAGAATGACAAATGGCTACTCCTCTGACTATCTGCTTACCTGGGCCACCTGTTTGTAGAAAACTTTGAGGTCACAACATAGTCCACCACCATTATGACTTTCAAATTGGTTGCTTGTTGCATAGGTAGTGGGATTTTAATCTAAGCCCTCCAGCCTCGCTCCGTTGATTCCCTACAGTAGATACACCAGTGCCCCTTCCATATGGCCTCACTTTGGTGCATGCCAGCCTGCCTTCCAACAGTCAGCATCTACAACTTTGTTAGAGGGCTGCCCTCAGACTGCTGGAACCCACTTTGCCTCCATGCAGGGCAGATCCAAAGTGCCTAGGTAACTCATAACCCATCAGTGGTATCCTTTAACCAAAACTTAATAAGTACAATGTATAAATACTCCAGCTCCCTTGCCCCTTGACTGGAATCATAATGAAGCATGCGTTTTGCACCATTTTAAAACACTTCTCTACAGGATGAAACTTCAGGTGGACACTATGGTAGTTGCCTTAATAGTGTCCCTTTATAGACTAGCTTCGTTATATTATTTCTTTCTCTCTCTTCTGCCCTTCTCTCTCAACATTCCAAATAGACTATGTGCACTCAATCTTTGTCTCAGCTTTGCTTCTGAGAGGAGCCCTGCTAACACATCTCTCTTATATCTGGTATTGGCATGCTATTTTGCAGACATATCAGGAATACTGAGACAACTATTACTACAAAACTGTATAATTCACAAGACCACTTGCAGATACAAACTAGGTACATATGAGATCAAGAATGTATTATTTTCTTTCTCTATTAGAATTACAGTGCTCTGTGTTTATATTAAATCTGCCCCTGTGATGAAAACACAGATGTCAGAAAGAAAGAAAAACAGAAAGAAAGACAGAAATGAAGGAGGGAAGGCAGGGAGGAGGGAGGGAGGGAGGGGAAGAGAGAAAGGAGAGAAAGGAAGGAAAAAAGGAAGGGAGGGAGAAAGATAGGAAGCAGGAAGAAAGAAGAAAGAAAATAGACAATCATTATTTAGGAGAATCAAAAGAGCATAAAGGAGATAGGCCTTGAAATTCCAGGAGATGATAAGAAAAATTGCTTTGAGGCAACAGGAGAGGTTGCCTCCTCAGAGTAAAAGGAGAGCTCCCTATACTCTGGAAAAAGGAGATATGAGAAGCAAATGAGAAGGGCTGTAAATCACTGGGTAATCAAAGCAAAAGTTATTCTGCAGGGCCCTGCAGAAAGCTTTCAGAAGAAGAAAAGTCAGATCAACTCTCTGTGCCTGAAAAAGCACAAAACTCTCAAGTCTTGAAATGGAGGGGACTCATCTTGGTATTTCTAATGGCATTCAGTAATTGCAGTGGCTGCTGTCCTCCTCTGGGAATTGGGAGGAGGGGGGTGTTGCTGGATGTTCTTGTACAAGGAGGAAGATAACTTGAACATGATTTTTTCTCTTCAGTGTATCCTGAAAAATTGAATTGTGATGATAAAGATCAGGCAATTGTGCTGAAGCACTGAACTCTTTATGAAATAATAGCCCAAGTGCTGAACTCTAATCTTGTTTCTCTCTTTGTTGGAAAGGGGAGGGGTGGCACTTGTGCTATCACCTAACTATGCACAGGCAGGACGATGGAGTAATAGTTACTGTATGCCCTGTGACCAAAGTTCTCTTTGATGCAGGGAGCCAGCTAGGCAATCAATCTAATATGGAGAAGCCGAGATGTCCATTTGTTTCCAGAGGAGAGAAAATCCTTGGGACCAAAGGAGGGTTAAGAGAAGTGGGGAAGGGGAATTGGCTGGTTGTGGAGATAAAATTCAGCAAAACAACAGACAAACTCCAACTCTCACCCCAAAAAAAATTAGGAAGGAAAAAAAACCTAGAATGAAGTTTGAGTGAGCAACCCTAAAAGCTGTTGATAACCTAGTATCCTGTAGAAAGTAAACTACATGAATTTGGATAGCAGAAAAAATCTAGTTAATATAGGAAATTCTGGCTAAAACATATATTTTTGTGGACTTAGAACTGAATTGTGTCATAGTCATCAACTGCAAAGAAGATTCTAGACCACACATAAGGGCTACAGAGAGTTCTCACAGTGGTTCCAATAGCTAACACATGCTGGGCTGGTTATAAGTGGATTTTCCCCACTGATAATATCAGTTTTCTTTCCTGAATGTCATAACTGAGGCCTTGTTAGCCCCTTCTTCTTATGGAACAGAGAGCACATAGCCTGTCTTGAGTCTTGGAAATGCCAATAGGTTTCTGTCATAATGGGTGTGGTCCAGGAAGCCCAAATCACACCGGCTCATCTATGGT